>NC_000009.12:40727957-40893967 GCF_000001405.40 Homo sapiens | reverse complement strand
TGCACATATAAGATAGAAGTTTCTCAGATTGCTTTTGTCTAGATTTTATGTGAAGATATTTCCTTTTCTACCTTAGGCCGCAAAGCGCTCCAAATGTCCACTTGCAGATTCTACAAAAAGAGTGTTTCCAAACTGCTCAATCAAAAGAAAGGTTCAACTCTGTGAGATGAATGCACACATCACAAAGAAGTTTCTCAGAATTCTTCTTTCTAGTTTCTATGTGAAGATATTTCCTTTTCCACCATAGGCCTCAAAGCGCTCCAAATGTAAACTTGCAGAATCTACAAAGGAAGCGTTTCAAAACTGCCAATCAAAAGAAACTTTTAACTCTGTGAGATGAATGCATACATCACAAAGAAGTTTCTCAGATTGCTTCTGTCTATTTTTTATGTAGAGCTATTTCCTTTTCTACCATAGGCCCCAAAATGCTCCAAATGTCCACTTGCAGATTTTACAAAAAGAGTGTTTCCAAACTGCTAAATCAAAAGAAAGGTTCAATTCTGTGAGATGAATGCACACATCACAAAAAGTTTCACAGAATTCTTCTGTCTAGTTTTTATGGGAAGAAATTACCTTTCCCACCATTGGCCTCAAAGTGCTCCAAATGTCCACTTGCAGATTCTACAAAGAGAATTTCAAAACTACTCAAAAGAAAGATTTCACTCTGTGAGACGAATGCACATATCACAAAGAAGTTCTCAGGTTGCTTCTCTTGAGCTTTTATGTGAAGTTATTTCCTTTTCTACCATTGACCGCAAAGTGCTCCAAATGTCCAACTGCAGATTCTACTAAGAGTGTTTCCAAACTGCTCAATCAAAAGAAAGATTCAACTCTGTGAGATGAACCTGCACATTCCAAAGAAGTTTCTCAGAGTTCTTCTGTCTAGTTTTTATGTGAAAATATTTCCTTTTCCACCGTAGGCCTCAAAGCACTAAAAATGTGCATTTGTAGATTCTATAAAAAGAGAGTTTCAAAACTGATCAATGAAAAGAAAGGTTTCCTCTTTGAGATGAATGCACATATAACAAAAAATTTATCAGATTGCTTCTGTCTAGATTTTATGTGAAGATGTTTCCTTTTCTACCATAAGCCACAAAGCGCTCCAAATGTCCACTTGCAGATTCTTGAAAAAGAGTGTTTCCAACAGCTCAATCAAAAGAAAAGTTCAACTCTGTGAGATGAATGAACACATCACAAACAATTTCTCAGAATGCTTCTGTCTAGTTTTTATTTGAACATATTTCCTTTTCCACAATAATCCTGAAAGCGCTCCAAACATCCAATTGCAGATTCTACAAAAAGAGTGTTTCAAAACTGCTCATCAAAAGAAAGGTTCAACTCTGTGAGATTAATGCACACATCACAAAGAAATTTCTCAGAATTCTTCTGTCTAGCTTTAATGTGAAGATATTTTCTATTCCCCAATAGGCCCCACAACAGGCCTCGAAGCCCTCCAAATATCCACCTGCAGACTCCACAAAAAGAGTGCTTCCAACTGCTCAATCAAAAGAAAGGTTCAACTCTGTGAGATGAATGCACACATCACAAAGAGGTTTCTCAGAATTCTTCTGTCTAGTTTTTATGTGAAGATATTTCCTCTTCCACTACAGGTCTCAAAGTGCCCCAAATGTCCACTTTCAGATTCTAGAAAAAGAGAGTTTCAAAACTGTTGAATCAGAAGAGAGGTTTAACTCTGTGAGATGAATGCGCACATCACAAAAGTAGTTTCTCAGATTGCTTCTTTCTAGATTTTATGTGAAGATATTTCTTTTTCTACCATAGGCTGCAAAGCGTTCCAAATGTCCACTTGCAGATTCTACAAAACGAGTGTTTCCAAACTGCTCAATTAAAAGAATGATTCAACTCTGTGAGATGAACACACACATCACAAAGTTTCTGAGCATTCTTCTGTCTAGTTTTTATGTGAAGTTATTTCCTTTTCCACCATAGGCCTCTATGCACTCCAAATGTCCACTTGCAGATTCTTGAAAAAGAGAGTTTCAAAACTGCTCAATCAAAAAAAGGTTTAACTCTGTGAGATGAATGCACACATAACAGAAATGTTTCTCAGATTGCTTCTGTCTAGATTTTATATGAAGATATTTACTTTTCTACCATAGGCCGCAAAGCACACAAAATGTCCACTTTCAGATACTCCAAAAAGAGTGTTTCCAAACTTCTCAATGAAAAGAAAGTTTCAACTCTGAGAGACGAACGCTCACATCACAAAGAAGTTTCACAGAATTCTTCAGTGTAGTTTTTATGTGAAGATATTTCCTTTTCCATCACAGGTCTCAAAGCGCTCCAAATGTCCACTTGCAGATGCTACAAAAAGAGAGTTTCAAAACTCCTAAATCAAAAGAAAGGTTTTACTCTGTGAGATGAATGCCCACATCGTAAAGAAGTTTCTCAGATTAGTTCTATCGAGATTTTATATGAAGATATTTCCTTTTCTACCATAGGCAGCAAATCGCTCCAAATGTCCACTTGCAGATTCTACAAAAAGAGTGTTTCCAAACTGCTCAATAAGAAGAAAGGTTCAACTCTGTGAGATGAATGAGCACATGAGAAAGACGTTTCTCAAAATTCTTCTGTCTAGTTCTTATGTGAAGATACTTATTCTTCCACCATAGGCCGCAAAATGCTCTAAATGTCCACTTGCAGATTCTACAAAAAGAGTATTTCCAAGTTGCTCAATCAAAAGAAAGGTTCAACTCTGTGGGAGGAACACACACATCACAAAGAAGTTTCTCAGAATTCTTCTGTGTAGTTTTTATGTGAAGATATTACCTTTTCCACCATAGGCCTCAAATCGCTCCAAATGTCCACTTGCAGATTCTACAAAAAGAGAGTTTCAAAACTGCTCAATAAAAAGAATGGTTTAACTCTGAGATATATGCACACACCACAAAGAAGTTTCTCAGATTGCTTCTGTCTAGATTTTATGTGAAGATATTTCCTTTCCTACCATAGGCTGCAAAGCCCTCCAAATGTCCACTTGCAGGTTGTACAAAAAGAGTGTTTCCAAACTGCTCAATCAAAAGAAAGGTTCAACTCTCTGAGATGAACGCACACATCACAAAGAAGTTTCTTAGAATTCTTCTGTCTAGTTTTTATGCGAAGATATTTCCTTTTCCAAAATAGGCCTGAAAGCGCTCCAAATGTGCACTTGCAGATTCTACAAAAAGACAGTTTCAAAACTGCTTAATCAAAAGAAAGGTTTATCTCTCTGAGCTGAGTGCACACATCGCAAAAAATTTCTCAGATTGCTTCTGTCTATATTTTATGTGAAGATGTTACCTTTTCTACCATAGGCTACAAAGCACTCCAAATGTCCACTTGCAGATTCTACAAAAAGAGTGTTTCCAACAGCTCAATCAAAAGAAATGTTCACCTCTGTGAGATGAATGAACACATCTCAAGCAAGTTTCTCAGAATGCTTCTGTTTAGTTTTTATTTGAAGATATTTCCTTTTCCACAATAGTCCTGAAAGCGCTCCAAACATCCACTTGCAGATTGTACAAAAAGAGTGTTCCAAAACTGCTCAATCAAAGAAAGGTTCAACTCTCTGAGATTAATGCACACATAACAAAGAAGATTCTCAGAATGTTTCTATCTAGTTTTAATGTGAAGATATTTCCTATTCCACAATAGGCCCCACAATAGGCATCAAAGCCCTCCAAATATCCTCCTGCAGATTCCACAAAAAGGATGTTTCAAAACTGCCCAATCAAAAGTAAGTTTCAACTGTGTGAGATGAATACACATATCACAAAGAAGGTTGTCAGAATGCTTTGGTCTAGTTTTTATCTGAAGATATCTCCTTTTCCACCATAGTCCTAAAAGTGCTCCAAATGTCCACAAGCACATTGTACAAAAAGAGCATTTCCAAACTGCTCAATGAAAAGAAAGGCTCAGCTCTGTGAGATGAATGCACAGATCACAAAGAAATTTGACAGAATGCTTCTGTTTAGTTTTTATGTGAAGATGTTTTCTTTTCCACCAGAGGCCTCAAAGCGCTCCCAATGTCCACTTGCAGATTTTATGAAAGGAGTGTTTCAAAGCTACTCCAACAACAGAAAGGTTCAACTCTGTGAGTTGAATGCACACATCACAAAGAAGTTTCTGAGAATGCTTCTGTCTAGTTATTATGTGAAGATATTTCGTTATCCACCATAGACCTCAAAGCACTCCAGATGTCCACTTGCAGATTCTGCAAAAAGAGTGTTTCAAAACTGCTCAATTGAAAGTAAAATTCAACTCTGTGAGATGAATTCACACTTCACAAAGAAACATCTCGGAATGCTTCTGTCTAGTTCTTATGTGAAGATATTTCTATTTCCACCATAGGCCTCAAAGCGCCCCAAAAGTCCACTTGCAGATTCTACAAAAAGAGATTTTCAGAATTGCTCAGTGAAAAGAAAAAGTTAACTCTGTGAGATGAATGCACACATCACAAAGAAGTTTTTCAGACTGCTTCAGTCTAGATGCTATATGAAGATATTTCCTTTTCTACCTTAGACAGCAAAGCGCTCCAAATGTCCAATTGCAGATTATACAAAAACAGTGTTTCAAAACTGTTCAATCAAAAGAAAGGTTCAACACTGTGAGATGAACGCACACATCACAATGATGTTTCTCAGAAATCTTCTGTCTAGTTTTTATGTGAAGATATTTCCTTTTACACCATAGGCCTCAAAGTGCTAAAAATGTCAACTTGCGTTTTCTACAAAAACAGAGTTTCAAAACTGCACAATCAGAAGAAAGGTTTAACTCTGTGAGATGAATAGACACATCACAAAAAGTTTCTCAAATTCCTTCTGTCTAGATTTTATGTGAAGATATTTTCTTTACTGCCATAGGCTGCAAAGCGCTCCAAAGGTCCGCTAGCAGAATCATCAAAAAGATTGTTTCCAAAATGCTAAATAAAAGAAAGTTTCGACTCTGTGAGATGACCGCATAAATCACAAAGAAGTTTCTCAGAATTCTTCTGTCTAGTTATTATGTTAAGATATTCTCTTTTCCAGGATAGGCCTCAAACCGCTCCAAAGGTCTACTTGCAGCTTCTACAAATGAGAGTTTCAAAACTGCTCAATCCAAAGAAAGGTTTAACATGGTGAGATAAATGCACACATCACAAAGAAGTTTCTCAGATTCCTTCTGTCTAGATTTTATGTGAGGATATTTCCTATTCTACCATAGCACACAAAGCGCTTTAAATGTCCACTTGCAGATTCTTCAAAAAGAGTATTTCAAAACTGGTCCTTCAAAGGAAAGATTCAACTCTGGGAGGTGAATGCACACATCACAAAGAAGTTTCTCAGAATGCTTCTATCTAGTTTTTATATGAAGATATTACCTTTTCCACATTGGCCTCAAAGTGCTCAAAATGTCCACTTGCAGATTCTACAAAAAGAGTGTTTCCAAACTGCTCAATCAAAAGAAAGGTTCAACTCTATGAGATGAACACACACATCACAAATAAGTTTGTCATAATGCTTCTGTCTAGATTTTATGTGAAGATATTTAATTTTCCATAATAGGCCTCAAAGTGCTCCAATGTCCACTTGCAGATTCTACAAAAAGAGTGTTTCAAAGCTGCTCAATCAAAAGAAAGTTACAACTCTGTGAGATGAATGCACACATCACAAAGAAGCTTGTCAGGATGCATCTGTCTAATTTTTATGTGAAAATATTCCCTTTTCCACCATAGGCCTCAAAGTGCTCCAAATGTCCACTTGCAGATTCTACAAAAAGCGTGTTTCAAAGCTGCTCAATCAAAAGAAAGTTTCAAGTCTGGGAGATGAATGCACACATCACAAGGAAGTTTGTGAGAATGCTTCTGTCTAGTTTTCATGTGAAGATCTTTCCTTTTCCACCAGAGACCTCAAGGCGCTCCAAATGTCCACTTGCAGATTCTACAAAAAGAGAGATGCAAGACTGCTCAATGAAAAGTAACGTTCAATTCTGTGAGGTGAATGCACACATCACAAAGAAGATTCTCAGAATTTTTCTGTCTAGTTTTTATGTGAAGATGTTTCATTTTCCACCATAGACCCCAAGACGCTCGAATGGTTCACTTGCAGATTCTACAAAAAGATTGTTTCAAAGCTGCTCAAACAAAGGAAAGGTTCAACTCTCTGAGATGAATGCACATGTCACAAAGAAGTTTTTCAAAAAGCTTCTGTCTTGTTTTGATGTGAAGATATTTTCTTTTCCACCATAGGCCTCAAAGTGCTGCAAATGTCCACTTCCAGATTCTACAGAAAGAGTGTTTCAAAGCTGCTCAATGAAAAGTAAGGTTCAACTCTGTGAGATGAATGCACACATCACAAAGAAGTTTGTCAGAATGCTTCTGTCTAGGTTTTATGTGAAGATATTTCCTTTTCCATGATAGGCCCCAAAGCACTCCACAGGTCCAGTTGTAGATTCTACAAAAAGAATGTTTCAAAGCTGCTCAATCAAAAGAAACGTTCATCTCTGTGACATGAATGCACACATCACAATGAAATTTATCAGAATGCTTCTGTCTAGTTTTTTTGTGAAAATATTTCCTTTTCCACCATAGGCCTCAAAGTGCTCCAAATGTCCACTTGTAGATTCTACAAACAGAGTGTTTAAAAACTGCTAAATGAAAAGAAAGATTCAACTCTGTGAGATGAATACACACATCACGAAGAAGTTTGTCAGAATGCTTCTGTCTAGTTTTTATATGTTGATATGTCCTTTTCCACAATAGGCCAGAAAGTGCTCCAAATGTCCACTTGCAGATTCAACAAAAAGAGTGTTTCAAAGCTGCTCAATGTAAAGAAAGGTTCAACACTGTGAGCTGAATGACCACATCTCAAAGAAGTTTGTAAGAATGCTTCTGTCTAGTTTTTATGTGAACATATTTCCTTTTCCACCATAGGCCTCAAAGGGCTCCACATGTCCTCTTGCTGATTCTACAAAAAGAGGGTTTCAAAGCTGCTCAATTAAAAGAACAGTTCAACTCTGTGTGAGATGAATGCAAACATCACAAAGAAGTTTCTCATAATGCTTCTGTCTAGTTTTGTTGGGAAGATATTTCCTTTTCCACCATATGCCTCAAAGCGCTCCAAATGCACACTTGCAGATTCTACAAAAATGGTGTTTCAAAACTGACCAATCAAAAGTAAGGTTCAACTCTTTGAGATGAATGCAGACATCACAAAGTAGTTTTTCAGAATGCTTCTGTCCAGTTTTTATGTGAAGATAAGTCCTTTTCTACTATAGGCCTCAAAGCACTCGAAATGTACACTTGCAGATTCTACAAAAAGTGTGTTTCAAAGCTGCTCAATCAAAAGAAAGGTTCAATTCTGTGAGATGAATGCATGCATCATGAAGAAGTTTGTCAGAATGCTTTTGTCTATTTTTTTTTTTTTTTGTGAGCAACAAGGCTGTTTATTTCACCTGAGTGCAGGTGGGCTGAGTCCAAAAAGAGAGCAAAAGGTGATTGGATTATCATTAGTTCTTATAGGTTTTGGAATAGGCAGTGGAGTTAGGAGCAATGTTTTGCGGGCAGGAGTTGGATCTCACAAAGTACATTCTCAAGGGTGGGGAGAATTACAAATTACAAAGAACCTTCTCAAAGGTGAGGGAGATTAAAAAGAACTTTCTTAAGGGTGGGGGAGATTACAAAATACATCAGTTAGTGTGAAGCAGAAACAAAACACAATGGTGGAATGTCATCAGTTAAGGCTATTTTCACTTCTTTTGTGGATCTGGGACGTGAGGAGTGCCTCTGCCTGGACGCCCATTGTCTGGGATGTGAGGAGCGCCTCTGCCCGGCCGCCCCATCTGGGAAGTGAGGAGCTCCTCTGCCTGGCCACCCCGTCTGAGAAGTGAGGAGCGCCTCTGCCCGGCCGCCCCATATGGGAAGTGAGGAGCGCCTCTGCCTGGCCACCCTGTCTGGGAGGTCTACCACAGAGGCCAGACGCAGTGTGGGGGCTGGACGTGGTGGCTCACGCCTGTAATCCCAACACTCTGGGAGGCCAAGGTGGGTTGATCACTTGGGGCTAGGGGTTCGAGACCAGCCTGGTCAACATGGCAAAACATATGAAAATTACAACAAACCAAACAACCAATCAACCAACCCAGCAACAACAAAACAGGTCTACCCTGGAGTCATACTCTAAATTTTTCTATTTTCCTCCCTTTCTGATCCTTTATCCCACTTTCTTTTTCTTCCTCTTCCTTCTCCTTCTTGTCAAAGACATAGAGGATTGAGTTATTATCATTGATCAATACAAAGTCCCTCTCTCATTTATTTTCTTTCATTCCCACCCCCCATTTCTATTCCCCATCTTCCTGTGTGCAACCTTCCTAATATGTTTGATATGCTTCTTTTTGTATATATTTTTAGAAAATGTTAAATAAAAAAAATTTAAGAAAGCCCTGCAAAAGCAGGAAAGCTGAACTGGCTGCTGAGCCCCTTCTGGTTGGCCACACAGTACCCACAACTGTAGCCCCTGGACTCCTAGTGTGGGCTAAGGTGGAGTGGACCCTCTGGCTTGGTCACAGTGCAATGGGCCACCTGGAAACTATCCAAAAGAGAAGACCTACCAGCCCGTGCCCTAGGTGCAGCTGCCACCCGCACATCAGGCACCAGCAGCAATGGCCAGACCATCCCTGATTCTCCATGCCCTCCCCATCCCCACGTCAACAGCAAGGAATCCCTGACAGGATGCTGCAGTAGTGGCTGTCAGGAAGTCGGCTGGGCAGGTGCATAACGATAAAGATAGACTCTCAGCCCCATCCCTATGGCCACGATGTGCTCATCCCCTGGCGGCTCCTCAGCCCTATCCTAGTGGCCACGGAGTGGCATGCAGGCAGCAGCCTTGGGAACCCCGATTGCCCGTCCTCACACGTGCCCATCACAAGACTTGGGCGACGGGGAGGTGAAGTCAGACTGTGTCCCCAGCGGCACCACAAGGCCGAGAACCGGCACTCAGCCTCAACCCCGTGACTGCAGGGTGCCAAGTGCCAGGTCCTGCGCTCTGGGCATGGGTCAGGAGCAGCTGGCAAGGGCAGCACAGCCTGTGGGGCCCTTGGGCATGGCCAGCCGCAGCTCCGGGAAGCCACTGCAGCTCCGGGAAGCCACGTCAGCCCACGGGCACTGCAGCTGCAGCTGCCACCAGCACATGGAGCAGGGGTCACTGAGGATTGGGAATCCCCGACCAGGCTAGCGCCTCCAGCCGCGCAGACCCCGGGGGCCAGCCCAGCCGCGGCAAGTCAGGTAGTCTGCGGCAGGAGCGCCGGACATGGGTTTTGGCCCGGGGTGCAGGAGGCATGCACCCTCTGGCCAGATGGGTGGTGCACTCAGGGCCCAGGAGGCCATCCCAGGGGAACCCCGCCAGCCTCTGCCAGAGCTCAAGCTGAAGCTGCCACCTGCAAGTGGTGCGCTGGCTGCAGCGGTGGCAACCCCAGATCCCATCCTCCCACCTCACGCCCATCAGCGCAGACCCCAGGGGTGACGCAGTGACGAAGTAGGGCTGTGGTCCCAGTGGCAGCACCAGGCGGAGAAGCACCACTCAATCCCATCCCTGGGCTGCAGAGGGCCCAGCGTGGGGGGCTCCGAGCATCGGGAGCCAGTGGAAGAGGAGAAGAGCACGTGGGCGACAGTCAAACAGGCCCTGGGGCAGGGTGTGCCTCATGCTCCAGGGAGCCCCGCCAGCCCGAGGCACCTGAGCAGCAATCGCCGCCTGCACTGGGTGCCACGAGAGAGCTGCTAGGGCGGTTTCTCCACCTCGGGCCTGTTGCTCGGGACCAGCTAAGGTGCACATGCTCGCTGGTCCTGACCATTCTGTTGGGCATTTCTGCTGAGAGGCGGGAGGTGCTGAGAGTCTCTGCGAAGGTCCATGGACAGACTGCATTGCTTGTTGTTGTGCTTCGGAGGCGGCGATCCCCGAAGGCGAGCTGAAATATAGCTGGAGCGTTCCCAGGCTACAATTTGCAGTGACGATTATGGAAGATGAGCCGGAGTGGTGGCCCACCCTCAGGGAGCACTTGTGCTCGTATGGCTTCTCATTTCCCCAGTACCATATTAAATCATCTCATCTGAGGAGGATCCACAGAGCTGTCTTCTGTGGTAATCTGGAGAAAGTGAAATACCTTTGTCTGAGTAGTTGTCGACTTTGTTTCCACATTAACTGGCTGTTTTGTTGTGGCTGCACTTCTGTTTCATTACCTTCATCTTGCAGGACGGAGTCTTGGCCGCAGACTGAGCCTGTACCTCACCCGTCTCCCACCGACTCTTGGTACTGGCCATGGCCATGCTGGGCAGCTCTATGGAGGCCTGGTGGGCTACCTTGGGGGTTCAGTCAGTGATCCTTTCACAGCTGGGGAGTGGAGACTGGGCCTGTGGTGGTGCTGTGTGCCTCCCAGCGCCTGGGGCGGTGCTCTGCACCTCCCGGTGCCTGCGGCGGTGCTGTGCCTTTTGTCTACTTTTTATATGAAGATATTTCCTTTTCCACCATAGGCCTCCAATTGCTCCAAATGTCCGCTTACAGATTCTACAAAAACAGTGTTTCAAAACTGATCAATGAAAAGTAAGGTTCAACTCTGTGAGATTAATGCACACATCACAAAGAAGTTTGTCAGAATGCTTCTGTCTCGTTTTTATGTGAAGATATTTTCTTTTCTTCTATAGCCTTCAAAGTGCTCCAAATGTCCACTGACAGATTCTCCAAAAAGAGTGTATCAAAGCTGCTCAATCTAAAGAAATGTGCAACTCCGTGAGATGAATGCATACAACTCAAAGAAGTTTGTCAGAATGCTTCTGCTTAGTTTTTATGTGAAGATATTTCCTTTTCCACAATAAGGCTCAAGGCACTCCAAATGTCTACCTCCAGATACTACAAAAATAGTGTTTCAAAACTGCTCAATGAAAAGTAAGGTTAAACTCTGTGAGAGGAATGCACACATCACAAAGAAGTTTGTCAGAATGCTTCTATCTAGTTTTTCATGTGAAGATATTTCCTTTTCCACCATAGACCACAAAGTGCTCCAAATATCCACTTGCAGATTCTACAAAAAGAGTGTTTCAAAACTGCTCTATCAAAAGAATGGTTCGACTCTGTTAGTTGAGTACACACATCACAAACATGTTTCTAAGAATGCTTCTGTCTAGTTTTTATGGGAAGATATTTCCTTTTTCACCACAGGCCACAAAGCTCTCCAAATGTCCACTTTGAGATACTACAAAATGAGTGTTTCAAACCTGCTCTATGAAAGGAATGTTCAACTCTGTGTCTTAAATGCAAACATCACCAAGAAATTTCTGAGAATGCTTATGTCTACTTTCTAAATGAAGCTATTCCCGTTTCCAACGAAATCCTCAAAGCTATGCAAATATCCACATGAAGATTCTACAAAAAGAGTGTTTCAAAACTGATGTCTCAAAAGAAAGTTTCAATTCCATTAGCTGAGTACACACAAAACAAACAAGTTTCTGAGAATGCTTCTGTCAACTTTTTATGGGAAGATATTTGCTTTTTCACCATAGGCTTCAAAGCGCCCCAATTGTTTACTTACAGATACTACAAAAAGAGTGTTTCAAACCTGCTCTATGAAAGGAAATGTCCAACTCTGGAGCTTGTATGCAAACATCACAAAGATGTTTCTGAGAATCCTTCTGTGTAGATTTTACATGAAGATATTCCCGTTTCCGACGAAATTCTCAAATCTATGCAAATATCCACATGCAGATTCTACAAAAAGAGTGTTTCAAAACTGCTCTATGAAAAGACATGTTCAACTCCGTTACTTGAGTACACACATCACAGACAAGTTTCTGAGAATGCTTCTGTCTAGTTTTCATGGGATGATATATCCTTTTTCAAAATAGGCCTCAAAGTGCTCCAAATGTCCACTTCCAGATACTACAAAAAGAGTGTTTCAAACCTGCTCTATGAAAGGAAGGTTCAACTCTGTGACTTGCATGGAAACGTCACAAAGAAGTTTCTGAGAATGCTTCTGTCTACTTTTTAAACGAAGATATTCCCATTTCCAACGAAATCCTCAAAGCTATGCAAACATCCACTTGCAGATTCTACAAAAAGAGTGATTCAAAACTGCTCTATCAAAAGAAAGGTTCAACTCTGTTAGTTGAGTACAAACATGACAAACAAGTTTCTGAGAATGATTCTGTCTAGTTTTTATGGGAAGATGTTTCCTCATTCACCACAGGCCTCAAAGCGCTCCAAATTTCCACTTCCGGATACTACAAAAAGAATGTTTCAAACCTGCTCTATGAAAGGGAAGGTTCAAATCTGTGACCTGAATGCAAACATCAGAAAGAAGTTTCTGCGAATGCTTCTGTCTACTTTTTATATTGGCATTCCCATTTCCAACGAAATCCTCAAAGCTATCCAAATATCCACTTGCAGATTCTATAAAAAGATTTTTTCCAAACTGTTCTATCAAAAGAAAGGTTCAACTCTATTAGTTGGGTACACACATAATAAACAAGTTTCTGAGAATGCTTCTGTGTAGTTTTTAAGGGAAGATATTTCCTTTTTCACCATAAGCCACAGAGCTCTCCAAATGTCCACTTCCAAATACTACAAAAAAAGTGTTTCAAACCTGCTCTATGAAAGGGAATGTTTAACTCTGTGACTTGAATGCAGACATCACAAAGATGTTTCTGAGAATGCTTCTGTATAGATTTTATATGAAGATATTCCCATTTCCAACGAAATCCTCAAAGCTATCCAAATAACCACTTGCAGATTCTACAAAAAGTCTGTTTCGAAACTGCTCTATCAAAAGAAACGTTCAACCCTGCTAGTTGAGTACACACATCGCAAACAAGTTTCTGAGAGTTCTTCTGTTTATTTTTATGGGAAGATGTTTCCTTTTTCACAGTAGGACTCAAAGCGCTCCAAATGTCCACTTCCAGATACTACGAAAATTGTGTTTCAAACCTGCTCTATGAAAGAGAATGTTCAAATCTGTGACTTGAATGCAAACATCACAAAGAAGTTTCTGAGAATGCTTCCACTTTTTATATGAATATAATACGTTTCCAACGAAATCCTCAAAGCTATCCAAATATCCACTTGCAGATTCTACAAAAAGAGTGTTTCAAAACTGCTCTATCAAAAGAAAGGTTCAACTCTGTTAGTTGAGTACACACATCACAAACAAGTTTCTGAGAATGCTTCTGTCTAGTTTTTATGCGAAGATATTTCCTTTTTCACCATAGGCCACAAAGCGTTCCAAGTGTCCAGTTCTAGATACTACAAAAACAGTGTTTCAAACCTGCTCTAGGAAAGTGAATGTTCACTTCTGTGACTTGAATGCAAACATCATGAAGATGTTTCTGAGAATGCGTCCTTCTAGATTTTATGTGAAGATATTCCCTTTCCCAACGAAATCCTCAATCTATCCAAATATCCACTTGCAGACTCTACAAAAAGAGTGTTTCAAAACTGCTCTATCAAAAGAAAGGTTCAACTCTGTTAGTTGAGTACACACATCACCAACAAGTTTGTGAGAATGCTTCTGTCTAGATTTTATATGAATATATTCCCATTTCCAACGAAATCCTCAAATCTATCCTAATATCCACTTGCAGATTCTGCAAAAAGAGTGTTTCAAAACTGCTCTATCAAAAGAAAGGTTCAACTCTGTTAGTTGATTACACACATCACAAACAAGTTTCTGAGAATGTTTCTGTCTAGTTTTTATGGGAAGATATTTCCTTCTTCACTATAGGCCAAATAGCGCTCCAAATGTCCAGTTGCAGATACTACAAAAAGAGTGTTTCAAACCTGCTCTATGAAAGGGAATGTTCAACTCTGTGACTTCAATGCAAACATCACAAAGAAGCTTCTGAGAATTCTTCTGTCTAGATTTTATATGAAGATATTCCCTTTCCAACGAAATCCTCAAAGCTCTCGAAATATCCACTTGCAGATTCTACAAAGAGTGTTTCAAAACTGCTCTATCAAAAGAAAGGTTCATCTCTGTTAATTGAGTACACACATCACAAACAATTTTCTGAGAATACTTCTGTCTGGTTTTTTTTTTATGCTTTTATTTTTAGGGTACCTCTGCACATTGTGCAGGTTAGTTACATATGTTTACATGTGCCATGTTGGTGCTCAGCACCCACTAACTCGTCATCTAGCATTAGGTATATCTGCCGAAGCTATCCCTGCCCCCTCCCCCCACCACACAACAGTCCCCAGAGTGTGACATTCCCCTTCCTGTGTCCATGTGACCTCATTGTTCAATTCCCACCCATGAGTGATAATATGCGGTGTTTGGTTTTTTGTTCTTGTGATAGTTTACTGAGAATGATGATTTCCAATTTCATCCATGTCCCTACAAAGACATGAACTCATCATTTTTTATGGCTGCATAGTATTCCATGGTGCATATGTGCCACATTTTCTTAATCCAGTCTATCATTGTTGGACATTTGGGTTTGTTCCAAGTCTTTGCTATTGTGAATAATGCCGCAATAAACATAGTGTGCATGTGTCTTTATAGCAGCATGATTTATAGGCCTTTGAGTATATACCCAATAATGAGATGGCTGGGTCAAATGGTATTTCTAGTTCTAGATCCCTGAGGAATCGCCACACTGACTTCCACAGTGGTTGAACTAGTTTACAGTGCCACCAACAGTGTAAAAGTGTTCCTATTTCTCCACATCCTCTCCAGCACCTGTTGTTTCCTGACTTTTTAATGATTGCCATTCAAACTGGTGTGAGATGGTATCTCATTGTGGTTTTGATTTGCATTTCTCTGATGGCCAGTGATGATGAGCATTTTTTCATGTGTTTTTTGGCTGCATAAATGTCTTCTTTTGAGAAGTGTCTGTTCATCTCCTTCACCCACTTTTTGATGGGGTCGTTTGTTTTCTCCTTGTAAATTTGTTTGAGTTCATTGTTGACTCTGGATATTAGCCATTTGTCAGATGAGTAGGTTGCGAAAATGTTCTCCCATTTTGTAGGTTGCCTGTTCACTCTGATGGTAGTTTCTTTTGCTGTGCAGAAGCTCTTTTGCTGAATTAGATCCCATTTGTCAATTTTGTCTTTTGTTGCCATTGCTTTTGGTGTTTTAGACATGAAGTCCTTGCCCATGCCTATGTCCTGAATGGTAATGCCTAGGTTTTCTTCTAGGGTTTTTATGGTTTTAGGTTGAACGTTTAAGTCTTTAATCCATCTTGAATTGATTTTTGTATAAGGAGTAAGGAAGGGATCCAGTTTCAGCTGTCTACATATGGCTAGCCAGTTTTCCAGCACCATTTATTAAATAGGGAATCCTTTCCCCATTGCTTGTTTTTGTAAGGTTTGTCAAAGATCAGATAGTTGTAGATATGCGGTGTTATTTCTGAGGTCTCTGTGCTGTTCCATTGATCTATATCTCTGTTTTGGTACCAGTACCATGCTGTTTTGGTTACTGTAGCCTTGCAGTATAGTTTGAAGTCAGGTAGTGTGATGCCTCCAGGTTTGTTCTTTTGTCTTTGGATTGACTTGGTGATGCGGGCTCTTTTTTGATTCCATATGAACTTTAAAGTAGATTTTTCCAATTGTGTGAAGAAAGGCATTCGTATCTTGATGGGGATGGCATTGAATCTGTAAATTACCTTGGGCAGTATGGCCATTTTCACGATATTAATTCTTCCTACCCATGAGCATGGAATGTTCTTCCATTTGCTTGTATCCTCTTTTATTTCGTTGAGCAGCGGTTTGTAGTTCTCCTTGAAGAGGTCTTTAACGTCCCTTGTAAGTTGGATTCCTAGGTCTTTTATTCTCTTTGAAGCAATTGTGAATGGGAGTTCACTCATGATTTGGCTCTCTGTTTGTCTGTTGTTGGTGTATAAGAATGCTTGTGATTTTTGCTCATTGATTTTGTATCCTGAGACTTTGCTGAATTTGCTTATCAGCTTAAGGAGATTTTTGGCTGAGATGATGGGGTTTTCTAAATATACAATCATGTCATCTGCAAACAGGGACAATTTGACTTCCTCTATTCCTAATTGAATACCCTTTATTTCTTTCTCCTGCCTTATTGCCCTGGCCAGAACTTCCAACACTATGTTGAATAGGAGCGGTGAGAGAGGGCATCCCTGTCTTGTGCCAGTTTTCAAAGGGAATGCTTCCAGTTTTTGCCCATTCAGTATGATATTGGCTGTGGGTTTGTCATAGATAGCTCTTATTATTTTGAAATACGTCCCATCAATACCTAATTTATTGAGAGTTTTTAGCATGACGGGTTGTTGAATTTTGTCAAAGGCCTTTTCTGCATCTATTGAGATAATCATACGGTTTTTGTTGATGGTTCTGTTTATATGCTGGATTACGTTTATTGATTTGCATATGTTGAACCAGCCTTGCATCCCAGCGATGAAGCCCACTTGATCATGGTGGATAAGCTCTTTGATGTGCTGCTGGATTCAGTTTGCCTATATTTTATTGAGGATTTTTGCATCAATGTTCATCAAGGATATTGGTCTAAAATTCTCTTTTTTGGTTGTGTCTCTGCCCGGCTTTGGTATCAGAATGATGCTGGCCTCATAAAATGAGTTAGGGAGGATTCCCTCTTTTTCTATTGATTGGAATAGTTTCAGAAGGAATGGTACCAGTTCCTCCTTGTACCTCTTGTAGAATTCGGCTGTGAATCCATCTGGTCCTGAACTCTTTTTGGTTGGTAAGCTATTGATTATTGCCACAATTTCAGCTCCTGTTATTGGTCTATTCAGAGATTGAACTTCTTCCTGGTTTAGTCTTGGGAGAGTGTATGTGTCCAGGAATTTATCCATTTCTTCTAGATTTTCTAGTTTATTTTCGTAGAGGTGTTTGTAGTATTCTCTGATGGTAGTTTGTATTTCTGTGGGATTGGTGGTGATATCCCCTTTATTATTTTTTATTGTGTCTATTTGATTCTTCTCTCTTTTTTTCTTTATTAGTCTTGCTAGCGGTCTATCAATTTTGTTAATCCTTTCAAAAAACCAGCTCCTGGATTCATTAATTTTTTGAAGCGTTTTTTGTGTCTCTATTTCCTTCAGTTCTGCTCTGATTTTAGTTATTTCTTTCCTTCTGCTAGCTTTTGAATGTGTTTGCTCTTGCTTTTCTAGTTCTTTTAATTGTGATGTCAGGGTGTCAATTTTGGATCTTTCCTGCTTTCTCTTGTGGGCATTTAGTGCTATAAATTTCCCTCTACACACTGCTTTGAATGCGTCCCAGAGATTCTGGTATGTTGTGTCTTTGTTCTCGTTGGTTTCTAAGAACATCTTTATTTCTGCCTTCATTTCGTTATGTACCCAGTAGTCATTCAGGAGCAGGTTGTTCAGTTTCCATGATGTTGAGCGGTTTTGAGTGAGATTCTTAATCCTGAGTTCTAGTTTGATTGCACTGTGGTCTGAGACATAGTTTGTTATAATTTCTGTTCTTTTACGTTTGCTGAGGAGAGCTTTACTTCCCACTATGCGGTCAATTTTGGAATAGGTGTGGTGTGGTGCTGAAAAAAATGTATATTCTGTTGATTTGGGGTGGAGAGTTCTATAGATGTCTATTAGGTCCGTTTGGTGCATAGCTGAGTTCAATTCCTGGGTATCCTTGTTGACTTTCTGTCTCGTTGATCTGTCTAATGTTGACAGTGGGGTGTTAAAGTCTCCAATTATTAATGTGTGGGAGTCTAAGTCTCTTTGTAGGTCACTCAGGACTTGCTTTATGAATCTGGGTGCTCCTGTATTGGGTGCATATATATTTAGGATAGTTAGCTCTTCTTGTTGAATTGATCCCTTTACCATTATGTAATGGTCTTCTTTGTCTCTTTTGATCTTTGTTGGTTTAAAGTCTGTTTTATCAGAGACTAGGATTGCAACCCCTGCCTTTTTTTGTTTTCCATTGGCTTGGTAGATCTTCCTCCATCCTTTCATTTTAAGCCTATGTGTGTCTCTGCATGTGAGTTGGGTTTCCTGAATACAGTACACTGATGGGTCTTGACTCTTTATCCAATTTGCCAGTCTGTGTCTTTTTTTTTTTTTTTTTTTTTTTGAGACGGAGTCTCGCTCTGTCGCCCAGGCTGGAGTGCAGTGGCGGGATCTCGGCTCACTGCAAGCTCCGCCTCCCAGGTTCACGCCATTCTCCTGCCTCAGCCTCCCAAGTAGCTGGGACTACAGGCGCCCGCCACTACGCCCGGCTAATTTTTTGTATTTTTAGTAGAGACGGGGTTTCACTGTTTTAGCCGGGATGGTCTCGATCTCCTGACCTCGTGATCCGCCCGCCTCAGCCTCCCAAAGTGCTGGGATTACAGGCATGAGCCACCGCGCCCGGCCCAGTCTGTGTCTTTTAATTGGAGCATTTAGTCCATTTACATTTAATGTTAATATTGTTATGTGTGAATTTGATCCTGTCATTATGATGTTAGCTGGTGATTTTGCTCGTTACTTGATGCAGTTTCTTCCTAGTCTCGATGGTCTTTACATTTTGGCATGATCTTGCAGCGGCTGGTACTGGTTGTTCCTTTCCATGTTTAGTGCTTCCTTCAGGAGCTCTTGTAAGGCAGGCCTGGTGGTGACAAAATCTCTCAGCATTTGGTTGTCTGTAAAGTATTTTATTTCTCCTTCACTTATGAAGCTTAGTTTGACTGGATATGAAATTCTGGGTTGAAAATTCTTTTCTTTAAGAATGTTGAATATTGGCCCCCACTCTCTTCTGGCTTGTAGGGTTTCTGTCGAAAGATCCGCTGTTAGTCTGATGGGCTTCCCTTTGAGGGTAACCCGAACTTTCTCTCTGGCTGCCCTTAACATTTTTTCTTTCGTTTCAGCTTTGGTGAATCTGACAATTATGTGTCTTGGAGTTGCTCTTCTGGAGGAGTATCTTTGTGGCGTTCCCTGTATTTCCTGAATCTGAATGTTGGCCTGCCTTGCTAGATTGGGGAAGTTCTCCTGGATAATATCCTGCAGAGTGTTTTCCAACTTGGTTCCATTCTTCCCATCACTTTCAGGTACACCAATCAGACGTAGATTTGGTCTTTTCACATAGTCCCATATTTCTTGGAGGCTTTGCTCATTTCTTTTTATTCTTTTTTCTCTAAACTTCCCTCCTTGCTTCATTTCATTCATTTCATCTTCCATCGCTGATACCCTTTCTTCCAGTTGATCGCATTGGCTCCTGAGGCTTCTTCATTCTTCACGTAGTTCTCGAGCCTTGGTTTTCAGCTCCATCAGCTCCTTTAAGCACTTCTCTGTATTGGTTATTCTAGTTATACATTCGTCTAAATTTTTTTCAAAGTTTTCAACTCTTTGCCTTTGGTTTGAATGTCCTCCCATAGCTCAGAGTAATTTGATCTTCTGAAGCCTTCTTCTCTCAGCTCATCAAAGTCATTCTCCATCCAGCTTTGTTCCGTTGCTGGTGAGGAACTGTGTTCCTTTGGAGGAGGAGAGGCGCTCTGCTTTTTAGAGTTTCCAGTTTTTCTGTTCTGTTTTTTCCCCATCTTTGTGGTTTTATCTACTTTTGGTCTTTGATGATGGTGATGTACAGACGGGTTTTTCGTGTGGATTTCCTTTCTGATTGTTAGTTTTCCTTCTAACAGAGAGAACCCTCAGCTACAGGTCTGTTGGAGTACCCTGCCGTGTGAGGTGTCAGTGTGCCCCTGCTGGGGGGTGCCTCCCAGTTAGGATGCTTGGGGGTCAGGGGTCAGGGACCCACTTGAGGAGGCAGTCAGCCCATTCTCAGGTCTCCAGCTTCATGCTGGGAGAACCACTGCTCTCCTCAAAGCTGTCAGACAGGGACATTTAAGTCTGCAGAGGTTACTGCTGTCTTTTTGTTTGTCTGTGCCCTGCCCCCAGAGGTGGAGACTACAGAGTCACGCAGGCCTCCTTGAGCTGTGGTGGGCTCCACCCAGTTCGAGCTTCCTGGCTGCTTTGTTTACCTAAGCAAGCCTGGACAATGGCGGGTGCCCCTCCCCCAGCCTCACTGCCGCCTTGCAGTTTGATCTCAGACTGCTGTGCTAGCAATCAGCGAGACACCGTGGGCTTAGGACCCTCTGAGACAGGTGCGGGATATAATCTCGTGGTGAGCCGTTTTTTAAGCCCGTAAGAAAAGCACAGTATTCAGGTGGGAGTGACCCGATTTTCTAGGTACCATCCTTCACCCCTTTCTTTGACTCGGAGAGGGAACTCCCTGACTCCTTGAGCTTCCCAAGTGAGGCAATGCCTTGCCCTGCTTCGGCTCACGCATGGTGCATGCACCCACTGACCTGCGCCCACTGTCTGGCACTCCCTAGTGAGATGAACCCGGTACCTCAGATGGAAATGCAGAAATCATCCATCTTCTGCGTCGCTCATGCTGGGAGCTGTAGACCAGAGCTCTTCCTATTCGGCCATCTACACACACATCACAAAGAAGTTTCTGAGAATGCTTCTGTCTAGTTTCTATGTGAGGATATTTCCTTTTTCACCATAGGCCTCCAAGTGCTGCAAGTGTCCACTACCAGATACAACAAAAAGAGTGTTTCAAAGCTTCTCTATGAAAAGGAATGTTCAACTCTGTGAGTTGAATGCAAACATCACAAAATAGTTTCTGAGAATGCTTCTGTCTGGTTTTTATGTGAAGATAATCCAGTTTCCAATGAAATCCTCAAAGCTATCCAAATATCCACTTCCAGATTCTACGAAAAGAGTGTTTCAAAACTGCTCTATCAATAGAAGAGTACAACTCTGTGAGTTGAGTACACACATCCCAAGGAAGTTTCTGAGAATTCTTCTGTCTAGTTTTTATGCGAAGATATTTCCTTTTACACCATAGGCCTCTAAGCGCTCCAAATGTTCACTTACAGATTCTACAAAAAGAGTGTTTCAAAACTGCTCTATGAAACGGAATGTTCAACTCTGTGATTTGAATGCAAACATCACAAAGAAGTTTCTGGGACTGCTTCTGTCTAGTTTTTAAGTGAAGGTATTCTCGTTTCCAACGAAATCCTCATAGCATTCTAAATATCCACTTGCAGATTCTACAAAAAGGGTGTTTCAAAACAGCTCTATCAAAAGAAAAGTTCAACTCTGAGAGTTGAGTACACATATCACAAAGAAGTTTCTGAGAATTCTTCTGTCTAGTTTTTATGGGAAGATATTTCCTTTTTCACCATAGGCCTCAAAGGGCTCCAAGTTTCCACTTACAGATTCTACAAAAAGAGTGTTTCAAAACTGCTCTAGGAAAACGAATGTTCAACTCTGTGAGTTGAATGCAAGCATCACAAAGTAGTTTCTGACAATGCTTCTGTCTAGTTTTTATGTGAAGAGATACCTGTTTCCAACGAAGGCCTCAAAGCTGTCCAAATATCCACTTGCAAATACTACAACAAAAGTGTTTCCAATCTGCTCTATCAAAAGAAAGATTCAACTCTGTGAGTTGAATGCACACATCACAAAGAATTTTCTGAGAATGCTTCTGTATAGTTTTTAATTGAAGATATTCCTGTTTCCAGTGAAATCCTCAAAGCTATCCAAATATCCACTTTCAGATTCTACAAAAAGAGTGTTTCAAAACTCCTGTCTCAAAAGAAATGTTCAACTCTGTGAGTTGAGTGCACACATCACAAAGAAGTTTCTGGGAATGCTTCTGTCTAATTTTTATATGAAGATGTTTCCTTTTTCACCATAAGGCACAAATCGCTCCAATTGTCCACTTCCAGATACGACAAAAAGAGTGTTTCAAAACTGCTCCATGAAAAGGAATGTTCATCTCTGTGAGTTGAATGCAAACATCACAAAGAAGTTTCTGAGAATGCTTCTCTCTAGTTTTTATGTGAAGATATTCCCGCTTCCAATGAAATACCCAAAGCTATCCAATTATCCATTTTGAGTTTCTCCAAAAAGAGTGTTTCAAAACTGCTGTATTAAGGAAAGGTTCAACTCTCTTTGTTGAGTACACACATCATAAAGAAATTTCTGAGAATGCTTCTGTCTAGTTTTTATGTGAAGATATTTCCTTTTTCACCATAGACCTCAAAGCGCTCAAAATGTACACTTCCAGATACTACAAAAAGAGTGTTTCAAAACTGTTCTATGAAAAGGAATGTTCAACACTGTGAGTTGATTGCGAGCGTCACAAAGAAGTTTCTGACAATGCTTCTGTCTAGTTTTTCTGTGAAGATATTCCCGTTGCCAACAAAAGCCTCATAGCTATCCGAATATCCACTTGCAGATTCTACAAAAAGAGTGTTTCAAAACTGCTGTATCAAAAAAAATGTTCAACTATGTAAGTTGAGTACACACATCACGAAGCAGTTTCTGAGAATACTTCTGTCTAGTTTTCTGTGAAGATATTTCCTTTTTAACCAAAGGCCTCAAAGCGCTGCAAATCTCTACTTTCAGATACTACAAAAAGAGTGTTTCAAAACTGCTCTATGAAAGGGAATGTTCATCTCTGTGAGTTGAATGCAAATATCACAAATTAGTTTCTTAGAATGTTTCTGTCTCGTTTTTATGTGAAGATATTCCCACTTCCAAGGAAATACTCAAAGCGATCCATATACCCACTTGCAAACCCTACAAAAAGAGTGTTTCAAAACTGCTCTTTCAAAAGAAAAGTTCAACCCTATAAAGTTGAGTACACACATCACAAAGAAGTTTCTGAGAATTCTTCTGTCTAGTTTTTATGGTAAGATATTTTCAACATAGCCCTCAAAGCGCTCCAAGTTTCCACTGACAGGTTCTTCAAAAAGAGTGTTTCAAAACTGCTCTATGAAAAGGAACGTTAAACTCTGTGAGCTGAATGCAAGCATCACAAAGAAGTTTCTGAGAATGCTTCTGATTAGTTTTTATGAGAAGATATTCCCGTTTCCAACGAAACCCTTAAAGCTATCCAAATATCTACTTGCAGATCCTACAGAAAGAGTTTTTCAAAACTGCTGTATGAAAAGAAAGGTTCAACTCTGTGAGTTGAGTACACACATGACCAAGAAGTTTCTGAGAATGCTTCTGTCTCCTTTTTATGTGAAGATAATTCCTTTTTCACTGTAGGACCCAAAGCGCTCCAAATGTCCACTTGCAGATACTACGAAAAGAGTGTTTCAAAAATGCTCTATGAAAGGGAATGTTCAACTCTGTGAGATGAATGCAAACATCACAAAGACATTTCTGAGAACGCTTCTCTCTAGTTTTTATGTGAAGATATTCACTTTATCAACGAAATCCTCAAAGCTATCCAAATATCCACTTGCAGATGCTACAAAAAGAGTGTTTCAAATCTGCTCTATCAAAAGAAAAGTTGAACTCTGTGAGTTGAGGACTCACATGACAAAGAATTTTCTGAGAATGCTTCTGTCTAGTTTTTATATGAAGATATTTCCGTTTCCAACGAAAGCCTCAAAGCTGTCCAAATATCCACTTGCAGATTCTACAAAAAGAGTGTTTCAAAACAGCTCCATTAAAAGAAATGTTCAAATCTGTGAGTTGAGTACACACATCACAAGGAAGTTTCTGAGAATTCTTCTGTCTAGTTGTTATGGGAAGATATTTCCTTTTTCACCATAGGCCTCAAAGTGCTCCAAGTTTCCACTTACAGATTCTACAAAAAGAGTGTTTCAAAACCGCTCTATGAAAAGGAATGATCAATTCTGCGAGTTGAATGCATGCATCAAAAAGTAGTTTCTGAAAATGCTTCTGTCTAGTTTTTATGTGAAGATATACCCAATTCCAGCAAAGGCCCCAAAGCTGTCCAAATATCCACTTGCAAATTCTACAAAAAGAGTGTTTCCAACCTGCTCTACCAAAGGAAAATTTCATCTGTGTGAGTTGAATGCACACATCACAAAGAAGTTTCTGAGAATTCTTCTCTCTAGTTTTATGTGCAGATATCCCCGTTTCCAACGAAATCCTTTATGCTGTCCTTATATGCACTTGTAAATTCCACAAGAAGAGTGTTTCAAAACTGCTGTATCAAAGGAAAGGTTTAACTCTGTGAGTTGAGTACGCACATCACAAAATAGTTTCTGAGAATACTTCTGTCTACTTTTTATGTGAAGATACTTCCTTTTTCACCATAGGTCTCAAATCGCTCCAAATGTCCACTTGTAGATTCCATAAAAAGAGTGTTTCAAAACTGCTCTATGAATAGGAATTTTGAACTCTGTGAGATGAATGCAAGCATCACAAATAAGTTTCTGAGAATGCTTCTCTCTGGTTTTTATGTGAAGATATTCCCTTTTCCAACGAAATCCTCAAAGCTATCCAAATATCCACTTGCACACCCTACAAAAAGAGTGTTTCAAAACTGCTCTATCAAAAGAAAAGTTCAAATCTGTGAGTTGAGTACACTCATCACAAAGAAGTTTCTGAGAATTCTTCTGTCTAGTTTTTATTAGAAGATATTTCCTTTTTCAGCATATGCCTCAAAGAACTCCATGTTTCCACTTACAGATTCTTCAAAAAGAGTGTTTCAAAACTGCTCTATGAAAAGGAATGTTCAACTCTGTGAGTTGAATACAAGCATCAAAAAAAGTTTCTGAGAATGCTTCTGTCTGGTTTTTATGTGAAGACATTCCCGTTTCCAACGAAAGCCTCAAAGCTATCCAAATATCCACTTGCAGATTCTACAAAAAGAGTGCTTCAAAACTGCTCTATCAAAAGAAAGGTTCAACTCTGTGAGTTGAGTACACACATCACAAGGAAGTTTCTGAGAATTCTTCTGTCTAATTTTTATTGGAAGATATTTCCTTTTTCAGCATATGCCTCAAAGAGCTCCAATTTTCCACTTACAGATGCTTCAAAAAGAGTGTTTCAAATCTGCTCTATGAAAAGGAATGTTCAACTCTGTGAGTTGAATAAAAGAATCACAAAAAAGTTTCTGAGAATGCTTCTGTCTAGTTTTTATGTGAAGACATTCCCGTTTCCAACGAAAGCCTCAAAGCTACCCAAATATCCACTTTCAGATTCTACAAATAGACTGTTTCCAAACTGCTGTATCAAAAGAAAGGTTCAACTCCATGATTTGAGTACACACATCACAAAGAAGTTTCTGAGAATGCTTCTGTGTAGTTTTTATATGAAGATATTTCCTTTTTCAGCATAGGCCTCAAAGCGCTCCAAATGTCCGTTTCCAGGTACTACAAAAAGAGTGTTTCAAAACTGCTCTATGAAGGGGAAAGTTTAACTCTGTGAGTTGAATGCAAACATCACAAAGAAGTTTCTGAGAATGGTTCTGTCGAGTTTTTGTGTGAAGATATTTCCGTTTCCAACAAAAGCCACAAAGCGCGTCAAATGTGCACTTGCAGATTCCACAAAAAGAGTGTTTCAAAACTTCTCTAAGAAAAGAAAGGTTCAAATATGTGAGTTGAGTGCAGACTTCACAAATAAGTTTCTGAGAATGCTTCTGTCCTAGTTTTTATATTATTTCCTGTTTCACAATAGGCCACAAAGCACACCAAATGTCCACTTGCACATTCTACAGAGTGTTTCAAAACTGCTGTATCAAAAGAAAGGTTCAACTCTGTGAGTTGAATGCACACATCACAAAGATGTTTCTGATAATGATTCTGTCTAGTTTTTATGTGGAGATATTCCCGTTTCGAACGAAGGCCTCAAAGTGCTACAAATGACAACTTGCAGATTCTGCGAAAAGAGTGCTTCAAAACTGCTCTATGAAAAGAAATGTTCAACTCTGTGAGTTGAATGCAAACCTCACAAAGAAGTTTCTGAGAATGCTTCTGTCTGGTTTTTATGTGAAGATATTACCATTTCCAACGAAAGCCTCAAAGCTGTCCTAATATCCACCTGTGAATTCTACAAGAAGAGTGTTTCAAAAGTGCTCTATCAAAGGAAAGGTTTAACACTGTGAGTTGAGTACACACATCACAAAGCAGTTTCTTAGAATGCTTCTGTCTAGTTTTTATATGAAGATATTTCCTTTTTCACCATAGGCCTCAAAGCACTCCGAATGTCCACTTCCAGATACTGCAAAAAGAGTGTTACAAAACTGCTCTATGAAAGAGAATATTCAACTCTGTGAGTTGAATGCAAACATCACAAAGAAGTTTCTGTGAACGCTTCTGTCTAGTTTTTATGTGAAGATATTCCCGTTTCGAACGAAGACGACAAAGCACTCCAAATGTCCACCTGCAGATTCCAGAAAAAGAGTGTTTCAAATCTCCTCTATCAAAAAAATGCTTAAACTCTGTCAGTTGAGTACACACATCACAAAGAAGTTTCTGTGAATTCTTCTGTGTAATTTTTATGGGAAGATATTTCCTTTTTCACGATAGGCCTCAAAGAGCTCCAAAAGTCCACTTGCAGATACTACAAAAAGTGTGTTTCAAAACTGCCCTATGAAAAGGAATATTCAACTCCGCGAGTTGAATGCTAACATCAAAAACAACTTTCTGAGTATGCTTCTGTCTAGTTTCTATGTGAAGATATTCCCGTTTCCAGCGATGGTCTCAAAGCTGTGCAATATCCACTTGCAAATTCTACAAGAAGAGTTTTTCAAATCTGCTGCATCAAAACAAAGGTTCAACTCCGTGAGTTGAATGCACACATCACAAAGAATTTTCTTAGAATGCTTTTGTTTAGTTATTATGAGAAGATATTCCCGTTTCCAACGAAAGACTCAAAGTTGTCCAAATATGCACTTGTAAATGTTTCAAAAAGAGTGATTCAAAACTGCGCTATCAAAAGAAAGAATCATCTCTGTGAGTTGAGTACACACATCACAAGGAAGTTTCTGAGAATGCTTCTGTCTAGTTTTTATGGGAAGATATTTCCTTTTTCACCATAGGCCTCAAAGCACACAAAATGTCCACTTGCTGATCCTACAAAAAGAGTGTTTCAAAAATGCTCTATCAAAAGAAAGGTTAAACTCTGTTAGTTGAGTACACACATCACAAACAAGTTTCTGAGAATGCTTCTGTCTAGTTTTAATGTGAAGATATTCTCGTTTCCAACGAAAGCCTCAAAGCTATCCAAATATCCACTTGCAGACACTACAAAAAGATTGTTTCAAAACTTCTCTATCAAAAGAAAGGTTAAACTCAGTGAGTTGAGTACACACATCACAAAGAAGTTTCTGAGAATGCTTCCGTCTAGTTTTTATGTGAAGATATTCCCGTTTCCAATGAAGGCCACAAAGCGCTCTAAATGTGCACTTGCAGATTACACAAAAAAAGTGTTTCAAATCTGCTCTATCAAAAGACAGGTCCAAATACGTGAGTTGAGTGCTCACATCACAAATAAGATTCTGACAATGCTTCTGTCTAGTTTTTATGTTAAGATACTTCATTTTTCACCATAGGCCTCAAAACACACCAAAATGTCCACTTGCAGATCCTACAAAGAGAGTGTTTCATAACTGCTCTATAAAAAGACGGATTCAACTCTGTGAGTTCAATGCACATATTGCAAAGATATTTCTGATAATGATTCTGTCTAGTTTTTATGTGAAGGTATTCCCTTTTCGAACGAAGGCCTCAAAGTGCTCCAAATGACCACTTGCAGATTCTACAAAAAGAGTGTTTAAAAACTACTCTGTGAAAAGGAATGCTCAAATCTGTGTGTTGAATGCAAACATCACAAAGAAGTTTCTGAGAATGCTTCTGTCTAGTTATTATGTGAAGATATTCCCGTTTCCAACGAAAGCCTAAATCCTATCCAAATATCCACTTGCAGATTCTACAAAAAGAGTGTTTCAAAACTGCTCTATCAAAAGAAAATTCAACACTGTGATTTAAGTACACACATCACAAAGAAGTTTCTGAGAATACTTCTGTCTAGTTTTTATGTGAATATATTTCCTTTTTCACCATGGTCCTGAAAGCGCTCCAAATGTCCAATTCCAGATACTACAAAAAGAGTGTTTCAAAACTGCTCTATGAAAGGGAATTTCCAACTCTGTGAGGTGAATGCAAACTTCACTAAGATGTTTCTGAGAATGCTTCTGTCTCGTTTTTATATGAAGATATACCCGTTTCCAACGAAGGCCACAAAGCACTCCAAATGTCCACTTGCAGATTCCACAAGAAGAGTGTTTCAAATCTCCTCTATCAAAAGAAAGGTACAACACTGTGAGTTGAGTACACACATCACCAAGAAGTTTCTGAGAGTTCTTCTGTCTAGTTTTTATGTGAAGATATTTCCTTTTTCACTATAGGCCTCAAAGCGTACCAAAAGTCCACTTGCAGATACTACAAAAAGTGTGTTTCAAAACTACCCTATGAAAAGGAATGTTCAACTCCATGAATTGAATGCAAACATCACAAGGATGTTTCTGAGTATGCTTCTGTCTAGTTTTTATGTGAAGATATTCCCGTTTCCAGCGAAGGTCTCAAAGCTGTCCAAATATCCACTTGCAAATTCTACAAAAAGAGTGTTTCAAATCGGCTCTATCAAAAGAAAGTTTCAACACTGTGAGTTGAATGCACACATCACAAAGGAGTTTCTGAGAATGCTTCTGCCTAGTTTTTATGTTAAGATGTTTCCTTTTACACCATGGGCCTCAAAGCACACAAAATGTCCACTTGCAGATCCTATAAAAAGAGTGTTTCAAAAATGCTCTATCAAAAAAAGGGTTCAACTCTGTGAGTTGATTGCACACATAACAAAGGTGTTTCTGATAATGATTCTGTCTAATTTTTATGTGAAGTATTCCCGTTTCGAACGAAGGCCTCAGAGTGCTCCAAATGACCTTTAGCAGATTCTACAAAAAGAGTGTTTCAAAACTGCTCTATGAAAAGGAATTTTCAACTCTGCGAGTTGAATGCAAGCATCACAAAGAAGTTTCTGAGAATGCTTCTGTCTAGTTTTCATGTGAAGATATTTCCTTTTTCACCATAGTCCTCAAAGCGCTCTAAATCTCCACTTACAGATACTACAAAAAGAGTGTTTCAAAACTGCTCTATCAAAAGAAAGGTTCAACTCTGTGAGTTGAGTGCACACATCACAAATATGTTTCTGAGAAGGCTTCTGTCTAGTTTTTATGTTAAGATATTTCCTTTTTCACCAAAGGCCTCAAAGCACACCAAATGTCCACTTGCAGATTCTACAGAGTGTTTCAAAACTGCTCTAGAAAAGAATGGTTCAACTCTGTGAGTTGAATGCACACATCAGAAAGGTTTTTCTGATAATGCTTCTGTCTAGTTTTTATGTGAAGATAGTCCCATTTTGAACGAAGGCCTCAAGGCGCTCCAAATGAACACTTGAAGATCCTACAAAAAGAGTGTTTCAAAACTGCTCTATGAAAGGGAATTTTCAACTCCGTGAGTCGAATGCAAACATCAAAAAGAAGTTTCTGAGAATGCTTCTGTCTAGTTTTTATGTGAGGATATTCCCGTTTCCATGGAAATCCTCAAAGCTATCCAAATATCCACTTGCAGATACTACAAAAAGATTGTTTCAAAATTGGTCTATCAAAATAAAGTTCAACTCTGTGAATTGAGTACACACATCACAAAGAAGTCTCTGATAATTCTTCTGACTAGTTTTTATTAGAAGATATTTCCATTTTCACCATAGGCCTCAAATCGCTCCAAATGTCCACTTCCAGATACTACAAAAAGTGTGTTTCAAAACTGCTCTATGTAAGCGAATTTTCAAATCTGTGAGTTGAATGCAAACATCACAAAGAAGTTTCTGAGAATGCTTCTGTCTAGTTTTTATGTGAAGCCATTCCCGTTTCCTACGAAATCCTCAAAGCTATCCAAATATCCACTTGCAGATTCTACAAAAAGAGTGTTTCAAAACTGCTCAATCAAAAGAATAGTTCACCTCTCTGAGTTGAGTACACACCTCACAAAGAAGTTTCGGAGAATTCTTATGTCTATTTTTTATGGGAAGATATTTCCTTTTTTATCATAGACCTCAAAGCCCTCCAAGCTTCCACTTATGTATTCTACAAAAAAAGTGTTTCAAAACTGCTCTATGAAAAGGAATGTTCAATTCTGTGAGTTGAATGCAAGCATCACAAAGAAGTTTCTGACAATGCTTCTGTGTAGTTTTTATGTGAAGATATACCCATTTCCAGCGAAGGCCTCCAATCTGTCCAAATATCCACTTCCAAATTCTACAAAAAGATTGTTTCCAATCTCCTCTATCAAAAGAAAATTTCAACTCTGTGAGTTGAATGCACACATCACAAAAAAGTTTCTGAGAATGCTTCTGTCTAGTTTTTTGTGAAGATATTCCCTTTTCCAAAGAAATCCTCAATGCTGTCTTAATATCTACTTGTAAATTCTACAAGAAGAGTGTTTCAAAACTGCTGTATCAAAGGAAAGGTTTAACTCTGTGAGTTGAGTACACACATCACAAAGTAGTTTCTGAGAATGCTTCTGTCTACTTTTTATGTGAAGATATTTTATTTTTCACCATAGGTCTCAAATCGCTCCAAATATCCAATTGCATATTCCTCAAAAAGAGTGTTTCAAAACTGCTCTATGGAAAGGAATGTTCAACTCTGTGAGATGAATGCAAGCATCACAAATAAGTCTCTGAGAATGCTTCTGTCTAGTTTTTATGTGAAGATATTCCCGTTTCCAATGAAATTCTCAAAGCTATCCAAATATCCACTTGCACACCCTACAAAAAGAGTGTTTCAAAACTGCTCTATCAAAAGAAAAGTTTAACTCTGTGAATTGAGTACACACATCACAAAGAAGTTTCTGAGAGTTCTTCTGTCTAGTTTTTATTGGAAGATATTTCCTTTTTCAGCATATGCCTCAAAGAGCTCCATGTTTCCACTTACAGATACTTCAAAAAGAGTGTTTCAAAACTGCCCTATGAAAAGGAATGTTCAACTCTGTGAGTTGAATACAAGCATCAAAAAAAAGTTTCTGAGAATGCTTCTGTCTAGTTTTTATGTGAAGACATTCCCGTTTCCAACGAAAGCCTCAAATTTATCCAAATATCCACTTGCAGATTATACAAAAAGAATGTTTCAAAACTGCAGTATCAACAGAAAGGTTCAACTCTGTGAGTTGAGTACGCACATCACAGAGAAGTTTCTGAGAATGCTTCTGTCTAGTTTTTATGTGAAGATATTTCCTTTTTCAGCATAGGCCTCAAAGCGCTCCAAATGTCCTTTTCCAGGTACTACAAAAAGAGTGTTTCAAAACTGCTCTATGAAAGGGAATATTCAACTGTGTGAGTTGAATGCAAACATCACGAAGAAGTTTCTGAGAATGCCTCTGACTAGTTTTTATGTGAAGATATTCCCGTTTCCAACGAAAGCCTCAAAGGTGTCCAAATATTCCCTTGCAGATCCTACAAAGAGAGTGTTTCAAAACTACTCTAAAAAAAGAAATGTTCAACTCTGTGAGTTGAGTACACATATCGCAAAGAAGTTTCTTAGCATGCTTCTGTCTTGTTTTTATTTGTAGATCTTCCGGTTTCCAGTGAAGGCCTCAAAGCTGTCCAAATATCCACTTGCAAATTCTACATAAAGAGGGTTTCCAATCTGCTCTATCAAAAGAAATGTTCAACACTGTGAGTTGAATGCACTCATCACAAAGTAGTTTCTGAGAATGCTTCGATCTAATTTTTATGTGAAGATATTTCCTTCTTCATCATAGGCCTCAAAGCGTTCAAAATATCCACTTCCAGATACTACAAAAAGAGTGTTTCAAAACTGCTCCATGGAAAGTAATGTTCAACTCTGTGAGTTGAATGTACACATCACAAAGAAGTTTCTGAGAATGCTTCTGTCTAGTATTTATGTGAAGATATTTCCTTTTTCAACAATGGCCTCAAAGTGCTCCAAAAGTCCCCTTGCAGATACTACAAAAATATTGTTTCAAAACTGCTCTATGAAAGGGAATGTTCAACTCTGTGAGTTGAATGCACACATCACAAAGAAGTTTCTGAGAATGCTTCTGTCTAGTTTTCATGTGAAGATATTTCATTTTTCACCATAGGCCTCAAAGCACTCCAAAAGTCCGCTTGCAGATACTACAAAAGGAGTGTTTCAAAACTGCCCTATGAAAAGTAATGTTCAACTCTGTGAGTCGAATGCAAACATCACAAAGAAGTTTCTGAGAATTCTCATGTCTACTTTTTATGTGAAGATATTCGCGTTTCCCATGAAAAACTCAAAGTTATCCAAATATCCACTTGCAGATTCTACAAAAAGAGTGTTTCAAAACTCTCTATCAAAAGAAAGTTTCAACTCTGTGAGTTGAGTACACACATCACAAAGAAGTATCTTGGAATTCTTCTGTCTAGTTTTTATGGGAAGATACACCCGTTTCCAATGAAAGCGTCAAAGCTGTCCAAATATCCACTTGCAAATTCTACAAAAAGAGTGTTTCAAATCCGCTCTATCAAAAGTAAGTTTCAACTCTGTGAGTTGAATGCACACATCACAAAGATGTTTCTGAGAATGCTTCTGTCCAGTTTTTATGTGAAGATACTCCCGTTTCCCATGAAAGCGTCAAAGCTGTCCAAATATTCATTTGCAAATTCTACAAAAAGAGTGTTTCCAATCTGCTCTATTTAAAGAAAGTTTCAACACTGTAAGTTGAATGAACATATCCCAAAGAAGTTTCTGAGAATGCTTCTATCTAGTTTTTATATGAAGATATTCCCGTTACCAACCAAAGCTTCAAAGCTGTCCAAATATCCACTTGTAAATGCTTCAAAAATAGTGATTCAAAACTGCTCTAGCAAAGGAAAGATTCATCTCTGTGAGTTGAGTGCACACATCACAAAGAAGTTTCTGAGAATGCTTTTGTCTAGTTTTTATGTGAAGATATTTCCTTTTTCACCATAGGCCACCAAGTGCTCCAAATCTCCACTTGCAGATTCTACAAAAAGACTGTTTCAAAACTGCTCTATGAAAAGGAATGTTCATCTCTGTGAGTTGAATGAAAGCATCACAAAGAAGTTTCTGAGTATGCTTCTGTCTGGTTTTTATGTGAAGATATTCCCATGTCCAAGGAAAGCCTTAAAGGTGTCCTAAGAGCCACTTGTAAATTCTACAAGAAGAGTGTTTCCAAGCTGCTCTATCAAAAGAAGGGTTTAACTCCGGGAGTTGAGTACACACATTATAAAGATGTTTCTGAGAATGCTTCTGTCTAGTTTCTATGTGAAGATATTCCCGTTTCGAACGAAGGCCTCAAAGTGCTCCAAATGACAACTTACAGATTCTGCAAAAAGAGTGTTTAAAAAATGCTCTATGAAAAGGAATGTTCAACCCTGTGAGTTGTGTGCACACATCACAAATAAGTTTTTGAGAATGCTTTTGACTAGTTTTTATGTGAAAATATTCTCGTTTCCAACGAAAGCCTCAAAGTTGTCCAAATATTCCCTTGCAGATCCTATAAAGAGAGGGTTTCAAAGCTGCTCTATGAAAAAGAAATGTTCAACTCTGTGAGTTGAGGACACGCATCACAAAGATGTTTCCCAGAATGTTTCTGTCTTGTTTTTATGTGAAGGTATTCCCGTTTCCTGTGAAGGCCTCTAAGCTGTCCAAATATCCACTTGAAAATTCTACAAAAAGAGTGTTTCCAATCTGCTCTATGAAAAGAAAGGTTCCACTGTGTGAGTTGAATGCACACATCACAAAGAGGTTTCTGAGAATGCTTCTGTCTACTTTTTATGTGAAGATATTACCTTTTTCACCATAGGACTCAAAGCGCTCCATATATCCAATTCCAGATACTACAATAAGAGTGTTTCAAAACTGCTCTATGAAAGGGAATGTTCACCTCTGTGGGTTGAATGCAAACATCACCAAGAAATTTCTGAGAATGCTTCTGTCTAGTTTTTATGTGAAGATATTCCCGTTTCCAATGAAGGCCACAAAGCACTCCAAATGTCCACGTGCAGATTAAACAAAAAGGGTGTTTCAAAACTGCTGTATCAAAAGAAAGGTTCCACTCTGTGAGTTGTCTGCACACATCACAAATAAGTTTCTGACAATAATTCTGTCGAGTTTTTATATTAAGATATTTCCTTTTTCACCATAGGCCTCAAAGCACACCCAATGTCCACTTGCAGATACTATAAAGAGAGTGTTTCAAAACTCCTCTAACAAAAGAAAGGTTTAATTCTGTCAGTTCAATGCGCACATCACAAAGATGTGTCTGGTAATGATTCTGTCTAGTTTCTATGTGAAGATATTCCTGTTTCAAAAGAAGGCCTCAAAATGCTCCAAATGACCACTTGGAGATTCTACAAAAAGTGTTTCAAAACTCCTCTATGAAAAGAAATGATCAAATCTGTGAGTTGAATGCAAACATCACAAAGAAGTTTCGGAGAATGCTTCTGTCTAGTTTTTATGTGAAGATATTCCCGTTTTTAAGGAAAGCTTGAAAGGTGTCCTAATATCCACTTTTAAATTTTACAAAAAGAGTGTTTCAAAACTGCTCTATCAAAAGAAAGCTTTATCTCTGTGAGTTCAGTACACACATTACAAACCAGTTTCTGAGAATGCTTCTGTCTAGTTTTTATGTGAAGATATTTCCTTTTTCACCATAATCCTCAAAGCGCTCCAAATGTCCACTTCCAGATATTACAAAAAGAGTGTTTCAAAACTGCTCTATGAAAAAAAATGTTCAACTCTGAGAGTTGAATGCAGACATCACAAAGAAGTTTCTGAGAATGCTTCTGTCTAGTTTTTATGTGAAGATATTTCCTTTTTCAACATAGGCCTCAAAGCACAACAAATGTCCACCTGCCGATTCTACAAAGAGAGTGTTTCAAAGCTTCTCTATCAAAAGAAGGTTTCAACTCTGTGAGTTGAATGCACACTTCACAAAGGTGTTTCTGACAATGCTTCTGCCTAGTTTTTATGTGAAGATATTCCCGATTCGAACAAAGGCCTCAAAGCGCTACAATTGACCACTTCCAGATTCTACAAAAAGAGTGTTTCAAATCTGCTCTATGAAAAGCAATGTTCAATTCTGTGAGTTGAATGCAAACATCACAAAAATTTTCTGAGAATTCTTCTGTTTAGTTTTTATATGACGATATTTCCTTTTTCACCATAGACCTCAAAGGGCTCCAAGTGTCCACTTACAGATTCTACAAAAAGAGAGTTTCAAAACTGCTCTATGAAAAGTAATGTTCAACTCTGTGGGTTGAATGCAAACATCACAAAGTAGTTTCTGAGAATGCTTCTGTCTAGTTTTTATGTGAAAATATTCCCATTTCCAGCGAAGGCCTCAAAGCTGTCCAAATATCCACTTGCAAATTCTATAAAAAGAGTGTTTCAAATCTGCTCTATCAAAGGAAAGTTTCAACTCTGTGAGTTGAATGCGCACATCACAAAGAAGTTTCTGAGAATGCTTCTCTCTGCTTTTTATGTGAAGATATTCCCGTTTCCAACGAAAGCCTCAAAGCTGACCTAATATCCACTTGTAAATTCTACAAAAAGTGTGTTTCAGCACTGCTCTATCAAAAGAAAGCTTTTACTCTGTGAGTTGAGTACACACATAGCAAAGTAGTTTCTGAGAATGCTTCTGGCTACTTTTTATGTGTAGACATTTCTTTTTTCACCATAGGCCTCAAATCGTTCCAAATGTCCACTTGCAGATTCTACAAAAAGAGTGTTTCAAAACTCCTCTATGAAAAGGAATGGTCAACTCTGTGAGTTGAATGCAAACATCACAAAGATGTTTCTGAGAATGCTTCTGCCTAGTTTTTATGTGAAAATATTCCGTTTCCAATGAAAGCCTCAAAGCTGTCCAAGTATTCCCTTGTAGATCCTACAAAGAGAGTGTTTCAAAACTGATCTATGAAAAAGAAACGTTAAACTCTGTGAGTAGAGGACACACATCACAAAGAAGTTTCTTAGAATGCTTCTGTCTTGTTTTTATGTGAAGATATTCCTGTTTCCAGTGAAGGCCTCGAAGCTGTCCAAATATCAACTTGCAAATTCTACAAAAAGAGTTTTTCCAATCTGCTCTATGAAAAGAAAAGTTCAACTCTGTGAGTTTAATGCACACGTTTCAAAGAAGTTTCTGAGAATGTTTCCATCTGGTTTTTATGAGAAGATATTTCATTTTTCACCATAGGCCTCAAAGCGCTCCAAATGTCCACTTCCAGATGTTACAAAAAGAGTGTTTCAAACCTGCTCTGTGAAAAGGAATGTTCAACTCGGTGAAATGAATGCAAACATCACAAAGAAGTTTCTGAGAATTCTTCTGTCTATTTTTTTGTGTGAAGATATTTCTTTCCCACCATACTCCTCAAAGCTCTCCAAATGTCCACTTTCAGATTCCACAAAAAGGGAGTTTCAAAACTGCTCTGTCAAAAGAAAGGTTCAACTCTGTGAGTTGAGTGCACACATCACAAACAAGCTTATGAGAATGCTTCTGACTAGTTTTTATTTTAAGATATTTCCTTTTTCACCATAGGCCTCAAAGCACACCAAATGTCCACTTGCAGATTCTACAAAGACAGTGTTTCAAAACTGCTGTATCAAAGGAGCGGCTCAACTCTGTGAGTTGAAGGCACACATCACAAAGATGATTCTGATAATGATTCTGTCTAGCTTTTCTGTGAAGATATTCCCTTTTTGAACGAAGGCCTCAAAGCGCTCCAAATGACCACTTGCACATTCTACAAAAAGAGTGTTTCAAAACTGCTCTATGAAAAGGAATGTTCAACTCTGTGAGTTGAATGCAAACATCACAAAGAAGTTTCTGAGACAGCTTCTGACTTGTTTTTATGTGAAAATATTCCCGTTACCAATGAGAGCCTCAAATCTCTCCAAATATCAACTTGCAGATCGTACAAAGAGTGTTTCAAAATTTCCCTATCAAAAGAAATGTTCCACTCTGTGAGTTGAGGACACACATCACGAAGAAGTTTCTTAGAATGCTTCTGTCTTGTTTTTATGTGAAGATATTCCCGTTTCCTGTGAAGGCCTCAAATTTGTCCAAATACCCACTTGTAAATACTACAAAAAGAGTGTTTCCAATCTGCTCTATCAAAAGAAAGGTTTAACTCTGTGAGTTGACTGCACACATCTCAAAGAAGTTTCTGAGAATGCTTCTGTCTAGTTTTCATATGAAGACATTTCCTTTTTCACTGTAGGTCTCATAGCACAACAAATGTCCACTTGCAGATTCTACAAAGAGAGTGTTTCAAAACTGCTCTATAAAAAGAAAGGTTCATCTCTCTGACTTCACTACACACATCACAAAGAAGTTTCCGAGGATGCTTCTGTCTAGTTTTCATGTGAAGGTATTTCCTTTTTCGCCATAGGCCTCAAAGCCCCCCAAATATCCACTTCCAGATACTACAAAAGAGTGTTTCAAAACTGCTCTATGAAGAGGAATGTTCAATTCTGTGAGTTGAATGTAAGCATCACAAAAAGTTACTGAGAATGCTTCTGTCTAGTTTTTTTGTTAAGATATTTCTTTTTCACCGTAGACCTCAAAGCACACCAAATGTCCACTTGCAGATCTACAAAGAGAGTGTTTCAAAACTGCTCTATCAAAAGAAGGGTTCAACTCTGTGAGTTGGATGCACACATCAGAAAGATGTTTCTGATAATGATTCTGTCTAATGTTTATGTGACGATATTTCCTTTTTCACCTTAGGCCTCAAAGCGCTCCAAATGTCCCCTTCCAGATACTACAAAAAGAGTGTTTCAAAACTGCTCTATCAAAAGAAAGGTTCAAGTCTGTGAGTTGAGTGCACACATCACAAAGAAGTTTCTGAGAATGCTTCTGTCTAGTTTTTATGTGAAGATAGTCCCGTTTCCAAAGAAAGCGTCAAAGCTGTCCAAATATCCAATTGCAAATACTACAAAAAGAGTGTTTCCAATCTGCTCTATTAAAAGAAAGTGTCAACACCGTGAGTTGAATGCACACTTTACAAAGAAGTTTCTGAGAATTCTTCTGTCTAGTTTTTATGTGAAGATACTCCCGTTTCCAATGAAAGCCTCAAAGCTGTCCAAGTATCCACTTGGAAATGCTTCAAAAGGAGTGATTCAAAACTGCTGCAGCAAAAGAAAGGTTCAACTCTGTGAGTTGAGTACACACTTCACAAAGAAGTTTCTGAGAATGCTTTTGTCTCGTTTTTATGTGAAGATATTTCCTTTTTCACCATAGGCCACCAAGCGCTCCAAATGTCCACTTGCAGATTCCAGAAAGAGTGTTTCAAAACTGCTCTATAAAAAGGAATGTTCAACTCTGTGAGTTGAATGCAAACATCACAAAGAAGTTTCTGAGAATGTTTCTGTCTGGTTTTTATATGAAGATATTCCCATTTCCAAGGAAAGCCTCAAAGCTATCCTAATATCCACTTGCAAATTCTACAAGAAGAGTGTTTCAAAACTGCTCTATCAAAGGAAAGATTTAAATCTGTGAGTTGAGTACACATATCACAAAGAAGTTTCTGAGAATGCTTCTGTCTAGTTTTTATGTGAAGATATTTCTTTTCACCATTGGCCTCAAAGCGCTCCAAACGTCCACTTCCAGATTCTACAAAAAGAGTGTTTCAAAACTGCTCTATGAAAGGGAATGTTCAACTCTGTGAGTTGAATGTCAACATCACAAAGAAGTTTCTGAGAATGCTTCTGTCTAGTTTTTATGTGAAGATATTCCCGTTTCCAACGTAGGCCACAAAGCGTTCCAAATGTGCGCTTGCAGATTCCACAAAAAGAGGGTTTCAAAATTTCTCTCTCAAAAGAAAGGTTCAACTATGTGAGCTGAGTGCACACATCACAAATAAGTTTCGGAGAATGCGTCTGTCTAGTTTTCATGTTAACATATTTCCGTTTTCACCACAAGCCTCAAAGCACACCAAAAGTCCACTTGCAGATTCTACAAAGAGAGTGTTTCAAAACTGCTCTATCAAAAGAAGAGTTCAATTCTCTGAGTTGAATGCAGAAATCACAAAGATGTTGCTGATAATAATTCTGTCTAGTTTTTAAATGAAGATATTCCTGTTTCGAACGAAGGCCTCAAAGTGCTCCAAAGGACCACTGTAGATTCTGCAAAAAGAGTGTTTCAAAACTGCTCTATGACAAGGAATGTTCAACTCTGTGAGTTGAATGCAAATATCACAATGAAGTTTCTGAGAATGCTTCTTTCTAGTTTTTATGTGAAGATATTCTCGTTTCCAACGAAGGCCACAAAGTGCTCCTAATGTCCAGGTGCAGATTGCACAAAAATAATGTTTCAAAACTGCTCTATCAAAAGATAGGTTCAACTCTGTGAGTGGAGTGCACACATCACAAATAAGTTTCTGAGAATGCTTCTGTCAACTTTTTATGTTAAGATATTTCCTTTTGCATGATAGGCCTCATGCACAACAAATGTCCACTTGCACATACTACAAAGAGAGTGTTTCAAACTGCTCTATCAAAAGAAGGGTTCAACTCTGTGAGTTTAATGCACACATCACAAAGTTGTTTCTGAAAATGCTTCGATCTAGTTTTTATGTGAAGATATTCCCGTTTTGAAGGAAGGCATCAAAGCACTCCAAATGACCACTTGCAGATTCTACAAAAAGAGTGTTTCGAAACTGCTCTATGAAAAGGAATGTTCAACTCTGTGAGTTGGCAGCACACATCGCAAAGTAGTTTCTGAGAATGCTTCTGTCTGGTTTTTATGTGAAGATATTCCCTTTTCCACCATAGGCCTCAAAGCACTCCAAATGTCCAAGTGCAGATTCTACAAAAAGAATGTTTCAAAACTGCTCTATGAAAAGAAATGCTCAACTCTGTGAGTTGAACGCAAAAATCAAAAAGCAGTTTACTAGAACGCTTCTAACTAGTTTTTATGTGAAGATACACCCGTTTCCAAAGAAGGCCTCAAAGCTGTGCAAATATCCACTTGCAAATTCTACAAAAAGAGTGTTTCCAATCTGCTCTATCAAAAGAAAGTTTCAACTCGGTGAGTTGAATGCACATGTCAGAAAGCAGTTTCTGAAAATGCTTCTGTCCAGTTTTTATGTGAAGATACTCCCCATTCCAATGAAATCCTCAAACCTGTCAGAATATTTAATTGTAAATTCTACAAGAAGAATGTTTCGAAACTGCTCTATCAAAAGACGGTTTAACTCTGTGAGTTGAGTACACACAACACAAAGGAGTTCCTGAGAATACTTCTGTCTAGTTTTTATGTGAAGATATTTCCTTTTTCAACATAGGCCTCAAAGCGCTCGAAATGTCCACTAGCAGATACTACAAAAAGAGTGTTTTAAAACTGCTGTATGAAAAGAAATGCTGAACTCTGTGAGCTGAATGCAAACATCACAAAGAAGTTTCTGAGAATGCTTCTGTCTAGTTTTTATGTGAACATATTCGCGTTCCCAATGAATGCCACAAAGCTGTCCAAATATCCACTTGTAATTGCTTCAAAAAGAGTGAATCAAAACTGCTCTAGCAAAAGAGAGATTCATCTCTGTGAGTTGAGTACACACATCACAAAGAAATTTCTGAGAATGCTTTTGTCTAATTTTTATGTGAAGATATTTCCTTTTTCACTGTAGGCCTCCAAGCGCTCCAAATGTCCATTTGCAAATTGTACAAAAAGGGTTTTTCAAAACTACTCTATGAAAAGGAATGTTCAACTCTGTGATTTGATTGCAAACATGAGAAAGAAGTTTCTGAGAATGCTTCTGTCTGGTTATTATATGAAGATATTCCCGTTTCCAACGAAAGCCTCAAAGCTGTCGAAATATCCACTTTAAATTCTACAAGTAGAGTATTTCAAAACTGCTCTATCAAAAAAAAGGTCTAACCCTGTGAGTTGAGGGCACACATCACAAAGAAGTTTTTGAGAATGCTTCTGTCTAGTTTTTATGTGAAGATATTTCCTTTTTCCCCATAGACCTCAAAGCGCTCAAAATGTCCACTTCCAGATATTAGAAAAACTGTGTTTCAAAACTGCTCTATGAAAGGGAATGTTCAACTCTGTGAGTTGAATTCAAACATCACAAAGGAGTTTCTGAGAATGCCTCTGTGTAGTTTTTATGTGAGGATATTCCCGTTTCCAACGAAGGCCACAAAGCGCTCCAAATGTCCTCGTGCAGATTCCACAAAAAGAGTGTTTCAAAACTGCTCTATCAAAATAAAGGTTCAACTCTGTGAGTTGAGTTAACACTTCACAAATAAGTTTCTGAGAATGCATCTGCCTAGTTTTTATGTTAAGATATTTCCTTTTTCACCATAGGCCTCAAAGCACACCAAATATCCACTTGCAGATTCTACAAAGAGAGTGTTTCAAAACTGCTCTATCAAAAGAAGGGTTCAACTCTGTGAGTTCAATGCACACATCACGAAGATGTTTCTGATAATGCTTCTGTCTAGTTTTTATGTGAAGATATTCTCCTTTTGAACGAAAGCCTCAAAGAGCTCCAAATGAACGCTTGCAGAGTCTACAAAAAGAGTGTTTCGAAACTGCTCTATGAAAAGGAATTTTCAACTCTGTGAGATGAAGGTAAACATCACAAAGAAGTTTCTGAGAATGCTTCTGTCTAGTTTTTATGTGAAGATATTTCCGTTTCCAACGAAAGCCTCAAAGCTATCCAGATATCCACTTGCATTTTCTACAAAAACAGTATTTAAAAACTGCTCTATTAAAAGAAAGGTTCAACTCTGTGAGTTGAGTACACACATCACAAAGAATTTCTGAGAATTCTTCTGTATAGTTTTTATGAGAAGATATTTCTTTTTTCACCATAGCCCTCAAAGTCCTCCAAGTGTCCATTTACAGATTCTACAAAAAGATTGTTTCAAAACAGCTCTATGAAAAGGAATATTCAACGCTGTGAGTGGAATGCAAACATCACAAAGCAGTTTCTGAGAGTGCTTCTGTGTAGTTTTTATGTGAAGATATACCTGTTTCCAGTGAAGGCCTCAAAGCTGTCCAAATATCCACTTCAAAATACTACAGAAAGAGTGTTTCAAATCTGCTCTATCAAAAGGAAGTTTCAACTCTGTGAGTCGAATGCACACATCACAAAGTAATTTCTGAGAATGCTTCTGTCTAGTTTTTATATGAAGATATTTCCTTTTTCACCGGAGGCCTCAAATCGCTCCAAATGTCTGCTTGCAGATCCTACAAAAAGAGGGTTTCAAAACTTCTCTATGAAAAGGAATGTTCAACTCTGTGAGTTGAATGCAAACATCACAAAGAAGTTTCCGAGAATGCTTCTCTCTAGTTTTTATGTGAAAATATTCCGGTTTCCAACGAAAGCCTCAAAGCCGTCCAAATATCCACTTGCAGATCCTACAAAAAGAGTGTTTCAAAACTGCTCTATCAAAAGAAATGTTCAATTCTCTCAGGTGAGGACACACATCAATAACAAGTTTCTTAGAATGCTTCTGTCTTGTTTTTATGTGAAAATATTCCCGTTTCCATTGAAGGCCTCAAAGCTGTCCAAACATCCACTTGCAAATTCTACGAAATGAGTGTTTCCAATCTGCTCTATCAGAAGAAAAGTTCAACTCTGGTTGTTGAACGCACATATCACAAAGAAGTTTCTGAGAATGCTTCTGTCTAGTTTTTATTGGAAGATATTCCCGTTTCCAACGAAGGCCACTAAGCGCTCCAAGTGTCCACTTGCAGATACCACAAAAAGAGTGTTTCAAAACTGATCTCTCAAAAGAAAGTTTCAACTCTGTGAGTTGACTTCAGATATCACAAAGATGTTTCTGAGAATGCTTTTGTCTAGTTTTTATGTGAAGATATTTCCTTTTTCATCATAGGCCTCAAAGAACAACAAATGTCCACTTGCAGATTACACAAAAAGAGTGTGTCAAAACTGCTCTGTAAAAGAAGGGTTCAAATCTGTGAGTTAAATGCACACATCACAAAGAAGTTTCTGAGAATGCTTCTGTTATTTTTTATGTGAAGATATTCCCGTTTCGAATGAAGGCCTCAAAGCACTCAGGATGACCACTTGCAGATTCTACAATAAGAGTTTTTCAAAACTGCTGTATGAAAAGGAATGTTCAACTCTTTGAGTTGAATGCAAACATCACAAAGATGTTTCTGAGAATGCTTCTGTCTAGTTTTTATGTGAAGATATTTCCATTTTCTCTATAGGCCACAAAGCTGTCCAAATGTCCACTTGCAGATACTACAAAAAGAGTGTTTCAAAAGTGCTCAATGAAAAGGAATGTTCAACTCTCTGAGTTGAATGCAAACATCACAAATAAGTTTCTGAGAATGCTTCTGTCTAGTTTTTATGGGAAGATACTCCCGTGTCCAGCGAAGGCTTCAAAGCTTTCGAAATATCCACTTGCAAATTCTACAAAAAGAGTGTTTCAAAGCTGCTTTATCAATAGAAAGTTTCAACTCTGTGAGTTGAATGAGCACATCACAAGGAAGTTTCTGAGAATGCCTTCAGTCTGGTTTTTATGTGAAGATATTCCCGTTTCCATCGAAAGCTTCACACGTGGTCCTAATATCCACTTGTATATTCTACAAGAAGAGTGTTTCAAACTGATGTATCAAAAGAAATGTTTAACTCTGTGAGTTGAGTACACAGATCACAAAGAAGTTTCTGATAATGCTTCTATCTAGTTTTTATGTGAAGATATTTCCTTTTTCACCGTAGGCCTCAAAGCGCTCCAAATGTCCACTTGCAAATAATATGAAAAGAGTTTTTCAAAACTGCTCTATGAAAAGGAATGTTCAACTTTGTGAATTGAATGAAAACATCACAAAGAAGTTTCTGAGAATCCTTCTGTCTAGATTTTATGTGAAGATATTCCCGTTTCCAATGAATGCCTCAAAGCTGTCCAAATATCAACTTGCAGATTCTACAAAGAGAGTGTTTCAAAACTGCTCTATCAAAAGAAGGGTTCAACTCTGTGAGTTAAATGCACACATCACAAAGAAGTTTCTGACAATGCTTCTGTATAGTTTTCATGTGAAGATACTCCCGTTTCCAAAGAAGGTCACAAAGCACTCCAAGTGTCCACTTGCAGATTCCACTTAAAGAGTGTTTGACAACTGCTCTATCAAAAGAAAGGTTCAGCTCTGTGAGTTGAGTACACACATCACAAAGAAGTTTCTGAGAATGATCCTGTCTAGTTTTTATGTGAAGATATTTCCTTTTTCACCATAAACCAAAAACACACCAAATGTCCACTTGCAGATTCTACAAAGAGAGTGTTTCAAAACTGCTCTATCAAAAGAAGAGTTCAAATCTGTGAGTTGAAAGGACACATCAGAAAGAAGTTTCTGATAATGCTTCTGTCTAGTTTTTATGTAACGATATTCCCATTTCGAGCGAAGGCCTCAGAGCGCTCCAAATGTCCACTTGCAGATTCTACAAAAGGAGTGTTTCAAATCTGCTCTATGAAAAAGAATTTTCAACTCTGTGAGTTGAATGTACACATCACAGAGAAGTTTCTGAGAATGCTTCTGTCTAATTTTTATTTGAAGATATTTTCTTTATCACCATAGGACTCAAAGTGCTCCAAATGTCGACTTGCAGATACTATAAAAAGAATGTTTCAAAACTACTCTATGAAAACGAATGTTCAACTCTTTGAGTTTAATCCAAACATCAGAAAGATGTTTCCAAGAAATCTTCTGTCTAGTTTTTATGAGAAGATACTCCCGATTCAAGTGAAAGCCTCAAAGTTGTCGAAATATCCACTTGCAAATTCCACAAAAGCAGTGTTTCAAATCTGCTCTATCAAAATAAAAGTTTCAACTCTGTGAGTTGAATGCAAACATCGCAAAGAAGTTTCTGAGAATGCTTCTGTCTAGTTTTTTGTGAAGTTATTCCCGTTTCCAATGAAGGCCACACAGCACTCCAAATGTCCACTTGCAGATTCCACAAAAAGAGTGTTTCAAAACTGCTCTGTGAAAAGAAAGGTTCAACTCTGTGAGTTGAGTGCACACATCACAAACAAGTTTTTGAGAATGCTTCTGTCTAGTTTTTATGTGAAGATATTCCCGTTTCCAATGAAAGCCTCAAACCTGTCCAAATATTCATTTGCAGTTTCCACAAAGACAGTGTTTCAAAACTGCTTTATCAAAAGAAAGATTCAACTCTGTGAGTTGAGTACACACATCACAAAGAGGTTTCTGAGAATGATTCTGTACAGTTTTTATGTGAAGATATTCCCGTTTCCAACGAAGACTTCAAAGCGTTCCAAATGTCCACTTGCAGATTCTACAAAAAGACTGTTTAAAAACGCTCCATCAAAGAAAATTTTCAACTCTTTTTGTTGAGTGCGCACATCACAAAGATGTTTCTGATAATGATTCTGTCTGGTTTTTATGTGAAGATATTTCCTTTTTCTCCAGAGGCCTAAAAGTGCTCCAAATGTCCACTAGCAGATACTACAAACAGAGTGTTTCAATACTGCTCTATTGAAAGGAATGTTCAACTATGTGAGTTGAATGTAAACATCACAAAGATGTTTTTGAGAATACTTCCGTCTAGTTTTTATGTGAAGATACCCCGGTTTCCAGCGAAGGCGACAAAGCTGTCCAAATATCCACTTGCAATTTCTACAAAAAGAGTGTTTCAAATCTGCTCTATCAAAAGAAAGTATCAACTCTTTGAGTTGAATATACACATCACAAAGAAGTTTCTGAAAATGCTTCGGTCTAGTTTTTATGTGAAGATATTCCCTTTTCCAAGGAAAGCCTCGAAGCTGTCCAAATATCCACTTGTAAATGCTGCAAAAAGAGTGTTTCAAAACTGCTACAGCAAAAGAAAGGTTCATCTCTGTGAGTTGAGTATACACATCATGAAGAAATTTCTGAGAATGCTTCTGTCTAGTTTTTATGTGAAGATATTTCCTTTGTCACCATAGGCCTCCAAGCGCTCTGAATGTCCACTTGCAGATGCTACAAAAAGAGTGTTTCAAAACTGCTCAATCAAAAGGAATGTTCAAATCTGTGAGATAAATGCAAACATCACAAAGAAGTCTTTGAGAATGCTTCTGTCCAGTTTTTATGTTAAGATATTTCCTATTTCACCATACGTCTCAATGCACACCAAATGTCCACTTGCAGATGCTACAAAGAGAGTGTTTCAAAACTTCTAGATCAAAAGAAGTGTTCAACTCTGTGAGTTGAGGACACACATCAGAAAGAAGTTTCTGAGAGTGTTTCTGTCTAGTTTTTATGTGAAGATATTCCCGTTTCCAACGAAAGCCTCAAAACTATCCCAATATCCACTTGCACATTCTACAAAAAGAGTGTTTCAAATCTGCTCTATCAAAATAAAGGTTCAACTCTGTGAGTTGAATACACACAACACAAAGAAGTTTCTGAGAATGCTTCTGTCTAGTTTTTATGGGAAGATATTTCCTTTTTCAACATAGGCCTCAAAGCGCTCCAAATGTCCACTTGCAGAATCTACAAAAAGAGTTTTTCAAAACTCCTCTATGAAAAGGAATGTTCAACTCCGTGAGTTTAATGCAAAGATCACAAAGAAGTTTCTGAGAATGCTTCTGTCTAGCTTTTACCTGAAGATACTTCCGTTTTCAGTGAAGTCTTGAAAGCTGTCCAAATATCCACTTGCAAATTCTACAAAAAGAGTATTTAAAAGCTGCTCTGTCAGTAGAAAGTTTCACCTCTGTGAGTTGAATGCGCACATCACACAGAAGTTTCTGAGAATGCTTCTGTCTGGTTTTTAGGTGAAGATATTCCCGTTTCCAACCAAAGCCTCAAAGCTGTCCAAATATCCATTTGCAGATTCTACAAGGAGAGTGTTTCAAAACTGCTCTATACAAAGAAAGGTTCTACTCTGTGAGTGGAGTACACACATCACAAAGAAGTTTCTGAGAATGCCTCTGTCTAGTTTTTATGTGAAAATATTTCATTTTCCAAAATAGGCTTCAAAGCGCTCCAAATGTCCACTTCAGATTTTACAAAAAGAGTGTTTCAAAACTGCTCTATGAAAAGGAATGTTCAACTCTGTGATTTCAAGGCAAACTTCACAAAGAAGTTTCTGAGAATGCTTCTCTCTAGTTTTTATGTGAAGATATTCCCGTTTCCGACGAAAGCCTCAAAGATATCCAAATATCCACTTGCAGATTATACAAAAAAGGGTTTCAAACTGCTCTGTCAAAACAAAGATTCAAATCTGTGTGTTGAGTACACACATCACAAAGAAGTTTCTGAGAATGCTTCTATCTAGTTTTAATGTGAACACATTTCCTTATTCACAGTGGGCCCCAAAACCCTGCAAATGTCCACTTGCAGATTCTACAAAAAGTGTTTTTCAAAACTGCTCTATGAAAAGGAATGTTCAACTCTGTGAGTTGAACGCAAACATCACAAAGGAGTTTCTGAGAATGATTCTGTCTAGTTTTTATGTGAAGATAAACCCGTTTCCTGCGAAGACTTCAAAGCTGTCCCAATATCCACTTGCAAATTCTACAAAAAGAGTGTTTCAAGCTGCTCTATCAAAGGAAAGTTCCAACAGCACACATCACAAAGATGTTTCTGAGAATGCTTCTGTCTACAATTTATGTGAAGATATTCCAGCGAATATCTTCAGGATTACCAACGGAAGCCTGAAAGCTGTCCTAATATCCACTTGTAAATTCTACAAGAAGTGTGTTTCAAGACTGCTCTATCAAAGAAAGTTTTAACTCTGTGAGCTGAGTGCACACTTCACAAAGAAGTTTCTGAGAATGCTTCTGTCTAGTTTTTATGTGAAGATATTTCCTTTTTCACCTTAGGCCTCAAAGCGCTCCAAATGTCCTCAGACAGATTCCACAAAAAGAGTGTATAAAAACTGCTCTATGAAAAGGAATCTTCAACTCTGTGAGTTGAATGCAAACATCGCAAAGAAGTTTCTGAAAATGCTTCTGTCTAGTTTTTATGTGAAGATATTCCCATTTCCAACGAAAACCTCAAAGCTGTCCAAATATCCATCAGCACATTCTACAAAGAGAGTGTTTCAAAACTGCTTTATCAAAAGAAAAGTTCAACTCTGTGAGTTGAATGCAAACCTCACAAAGAAGTTTCTGAGAATGCTTCTTTCTAGTTTTTATGTGAAGATATTCCCGTTTCCAAAGAATGCCTCAAAGCGCTCCAAATATCCACTTGCAGGATTCACAAAGTGTTTCAAAACTGCTCTATCAAATGAAAAGTTCAACTCTGTGAGTTTAGTGTACACATGACAAATAAGTTTCTTAGAATGCTCCTGTCTAGTTTTCATGTGAAGATATTTCCTTTTTTACCACAGGCCTCAAAGCTCTCCAAAGGTCCACTTGCAGATTCTACAAAAAGAGTGTTTCAAAACTGCTCTATGAAAAAGAATGATGAACTCTGAGAGTTGAAGACAAACATCACAGAGAAGTTTCTGAGAATGCTTCTGTCTAGTTTTTATGAGAAGATATTCCCGTTTCCAACGAAAGACTCAAAGCTGTCCAAATATACACCTGCAGATTCTACAAGGGAGTGTTTCAAAACTGTTCTATCAAAAGAAATGTTCAACTCTGTGAGTTGAGTACACACATCACAAAGAAGTGTCTGAGAATGATTCTGTCTAGTTTTTATGCGAAGATATTTCATTTTTCACCACAGGCCTCAAGTCACTCCAAATGTCCACTTGCAGATTCTACAAAAAGAGTGTTTCAAAACAGCTCTATGCAAAGGAATGTTCAACTCTTTGAGTTGAATGCAAACCTCGCAAGGAAGTTTCTGAGTATCCTTCCGTCTAGTTTTTATGTGAAGATACTCCCGTTTCCAGCGAAGGCTTCAAAGCTGTCCAAATATCCACTTGCAAATTTTACAAAAAGTTTGTTTCAAAGCTGCTCTATCAAAAGAAAGTTTCAACTCTGTGAGATGAATGCGCATAAAACAAAGATGTTCCTGATAATTCTTCTGTCTGGTTTTTATGTGAAGACATTCCCGTTTCCAACAAAAGTGTCAAAGCTGTCCTAATATCCACTTATAAATTCTACAAGAAGAGTGTTTCAAAACTGCTCTATCAAAAGAAAGGTTTAACTGAGTCAGTTGAGTACACACATCAAAAAGAAGTTTCTGAGAATGCTTCTGTCTAGTTTTTATGTTAAGATAATTCCTTTTTCTCCATAGGCCTCAAAGCACACCAGATGTCCACTTGCAGATTCTCCAATGAGAGTGTTTCAAAACTGCTCTATCAAAAGAAGGGTTCAACTATGGGAGTTGAAAGCACATATCCCAAAGTAGTTTCTGATAAAGCTTCTGTCTAGTTTTTATGGGAAGATATTCCCGTTTCGAATGAAGGCCCCAAAGCATTCCAAATGTCCATTGGAGATTCTACAAAAAGAGAGATTCAAAACTGCTGTATGAAAAAGATTGTTCAACCCTGTGAGTTGAATGCACACATCACAAAGAAGTTCCTGAGAATGCTTCTGTCTAGTTTTTATGTGAAGACATTTCCTTTTTCACCATAGGCCTCAAAGCGCTCCAAATGTCCACTTGCAGATACTACAAAAAGAGTGTTTCAAAACTGATGTATGAAGAGGAATGTTCAAATCTGTGAGTTGAATGCAAACATCACAAAAGTTTCTGAGAATGCTTCTGTCTAGTTTCTATGTGATGATATTCCAGTTTCCAACAAAAGCCTCAAAACTGTCCAAATATCCATTTGCAGATTCTACAAGGAGAGTGTTTCAAAACTGCTCTATACAAAGAAAGGTTCTACTCTGTGAGTGGAGTACACACATCACAAAGAAGTTTCTGAGAATGCCTCTGTCTAGTTTTTATGTGAAAATATTTCATTTTCCAAAATAGGCCTCAAAGTGCTCCAAATATCCACTTGCAGATACTACAAAAAGAGTGCATCAAAACTGCTCTATGAAAAGGAATCGTCAACTCTGTGAGTTGAATGCAAACATCACAAAGAAGTTTCTGTGAATGCTTCTGTGTAGTTTTTATGTGAAGATATTCCCGTTTCCAACGAAAGCCTCAAAGCTGTCCAAATATCCGTTAACAGATTCTACAAAGAGAGTGTTTCAAAACTTCTCTATCAAAAGAAAAGTTCAACTCTGTGAGTTGAGTACACACATCAAAAAGAAGTTTTTGAGAATGCTTCTGTCTAGTTTTTATGTGAAGATATTCCTGTTTCTAAGGCCTCAAAGCACTCCAAGTCTCCACTTGCAGATATTACAAAAAGAGTGTTGCAAAACTGCTCTATGAAAAGGAACGTTCAACTCTGTGAGTTGAATGCAAACATCAAAAAGAAGTTTCCTAGAATGCTTCTGTCTAGTTTTATGTGAAGATACTCCCATTTCCAGCGAAGGCTTCAAAGCTGTCCAAATATCCCCTTGAAAATTCTACAAAAAGAGTGTTTCAAACCTGCTCTATCAAAGGAAAGTTTCAACTCAGTGAGTTGAACGCACAAATCACAAAGAAGTTTCTGTGAAAGCTTCTGTCTGGTTTTTATTTGAAGATATTCCCATTTCCAACGAAAGCCACAAAGCTGTCCAAATATCCACTTGTAAATTCTACAAGAAGAGTGTTTCAAAACTGCTCTATCAAAAGAAAGGTTTAACACTGTGAGTGGAGTACACACATCACAAAGAAGTTTCTGAGAATGCTTCTGTCTAGTTTTTATGTGAAAATATTTCCTTTTTCACCATAGGCCTCAAGCGCTCCAAATGTCTACTTGCACATACTACAAAAAGATTTTTTCAAACTTCTCTATGAAAAGGAATATTCAACCCTGTTAGTTGAATGCAAACATCACAAAGAAGTTTCTGAGAATGCTTTGTCTAGTTTTTATGTGAAGATACCCCCGTTTCCAGCGAAGGCTTCAAAGCTGTCCAAATATCCACTTGCAAATTCTTTAAAAAGAGTGTTTCAAAGCTGCTTTATCAAAGGAAATTTCAACTCTGTGAGTTGAATGCACACATCACAAAGAAGTTTCTGAGAATGCTTCTGTCTGGTTTTAATGTGAAGATATTCCCGTTTCCAATGAAAGCCTCAAAGCTGTCCTAATATCCACCTGTAAATTCTACAAGAATAGTGTTTCAAAACTGCTCTATCAAAGGAAAGGTTTACCTTTCTAAGTTGAGTACACACATTACAAAGAAGTTTCTGAGAATGTTTCTGTCTGGTTTTTATGTGGAGATAATCCCGTTTCCAGTGAAGGCCTCAAAGCTGTTCAAATATCCACTTGCAAATTCTACAAAAAGAGTGTTTCCAATCTGCTATATCAAAATAGAGTTTCAACACTGTGGGTTGAATGCACACATCACAAAGAAGATTCTGAGAATGCTTCTATTTTTCACATGAAGACAATCCCGTTTCCAATGAAAGCCTCAAAGCTGTCTAATATCCACTTGCAAATTCTACAAAAATAGTGTTTCAAAACTGCTCTATCAAATGAGTGGTTCAACTCTGGGAGTTGAATACACTCATCACAAAGAAGTTTCTGAGAATGCTTCTCTCTAGTTTTTATGTGAAGATATTTCCTTTTTCACCATAGGCCTCAAAGAGCTCCAAATATCCAGTTGCAGATTCTACAAACGGTGTGTTTCAAAACTGCTCTATGAAAAGGCATGTTCAACTCTGTGAGTTGAATGGAAACATCACAAAGAAATTTCTGAGAATGCTTCTGTCTAGTTTTTATGTGAAGCTACTCGCGTTTCCAGCGAAGGCTTCAAAGCTGTCCAAATATCCACTTGTAAATTCTGCAAAAAGAGTGTTTCAAAGCTGCTCTAACAAAGTAAAGATTCAACTCTTTGAGTTGAATGCGCAAATCACAAAGAAGTTTCTGTGAATGCTTCTGTCTGGCTTTTATGTGAGGATATTCCCGTTTCCAGCGAAAGCCTCAAAGCTGTCCAAATATCCAGCTTGAAAATTCTACAAGAAGAGTGTTTCAAAACTGCTCCATCAAAACAAAGTTTAACTCTGTGAGTTGAGTACACATATCAAAAAGAAGTTTCTGAGAATGCTTCTGTCTAGTTTTTATACGAAGATATTTCCTTTTCCACCATAGGCCTCAAAGCGCTCCAAATGTCAACTTGCAGATTCTACAAAAAGAGAGTTTCAAACCTGCTCTATCAAAGAAATATTCAAATATGTGAGGTGAATGCACACAGCCAAAGGAAGTTTCTGAGAAAACTTCTGTGTCGTGATCATGTGAAGGTACTCCCGTTTCCAATGATGTCCTCAAAGTGGCCCAAATAACCACTTGGAGATACTACTAAAAGAGTGTTTCAAAACTGCTCTAGGATAAAGTATGTTCAACTCTGAGAATTGAAGGCAAACATCACAAAGAAGTTTCTGAGAATGCTGCTGTTTAGTTTTAATGTGAAGATATTTCCTTTTCCACCATAGACATCAAATCGCTCATAATGTCCACTTGCAGATTCTGCAAAAAGAGTATTAAACCTGCTCTATCAATAGAAGGGTCAACTCTCTGAGTTGAATGCACACATCAAAATGAATTTTCCTAGAATGCTTCTGTCTAGTTTTTATGTGAAGAAACTCCCGTTTCCAGGGAAGGCCTCAAAGCTGTCCAAATATCCACTTGCAAATTCTACAAAAAGAGTGTTTCAAATCTGCTCCATCAAAAGAAAATTTCAAATCTGTGAGTTGAATGCACACAGCACAAAGACGTTTTTGAGAAAGCTTCATTGTGTGAAGATACTCCCGTTTCCAACGAAAGCCTCAAAGCCGTCCAATTATACACTTGCAGATACTACTAAAAGAGTGTTTCAAAACTGATCTATGATAAAGTATGTTAAACTCTGAGAGTTGAATGCAAACGTCACAAATAAGTTTATGAGAATGCTTCTGTCTAGTTTTTATGTGAAGATATTTCCTTTTCCTCCATAGGCCACAAAGCGCTCCTAATGTCCACTTGTAGATTCCGCAAAAGAGTGTTTCAAACCTGCTCTATAAAAAGAAAGGTTCAACTCTGTGAGTTGAATACACACAGCACAAAGAAATTTCTGAGAAAGCATCATTATGTAAAGATACTCCCGTTTCCAATGAACTCAAAGCCCTCCAATTATCCACTTGCAGATACTACTAAAAGAGTGTTTCAAAACTGCTCTATGATAAAGTATGTTAGACTCTGAGAGGTGAATGCAAACGTCACAAATAAGTTTATGAGAATGCTTCTGTCTAGTTTTTATGTGAGGATATATCCTTTTCCACCATATGCCAAAAAGAGCTCCAAATGTCCACTTGCGGATCCTGCAAAAAGAGTGTTTCAACCCTGCTCTACGAAAAGGAAGGTTCAACTCTGTGAGTTGAATGGACACATCACAAAGTAGTTTCTGAGAATGCTTCTGTCTAGTTTTTATGTGAAGATATTCCCGTTTCCAACGAAGGCCTCAAAGTGGTCCAAATATCCACTTGCAGATTCTACGAAAATAGTGTTTCAAAACTACTCTATGAAAAGGGAGGTTCAACTCTGTGAGTTGAATGCAAACATCACAAAGAAGTTTCTGACAATGCTTCTGTCTAGTTTTTATTTATAGATATTTCCTTTTCCACCATAGGCCTCCAAGCTCTCCAAATGTCTGCTTGCAGATTCTACAAAAAAAGTGCTTCAAACCTGCTCTATCAAAAGAAAGGTTCAATTCTGTGAGTGAAATGAACACATCACAAAGAAGTTTCTGAGAATGATTCTGTCTAGTGTTTATGTGAAGATATCCCCTTTTCCAACGAAGGCCTCAAAGTGGTTCAAATATCCACTTGCAGATTCTACAAAAAGAGTGTTTCAAACCTGCTTTATTAAAGGAAAGCTTCAACTCTGTGAGTTGAACGCACACATCACAAAGAAGTTTCTGAGAATGCTTCTATCTAGTGTTTATTTGAAGATATTCCCGTTTCCAATGAAGGCTTCAAAGCGTTCCAAATATCCACTTGCAGATTCTGCAAAAAGAGTGCTTCAAAACTGCTCTATGAAGAGGTATGTTCAACCCTGTGATTTTAAAGCAAACATCACAAAGTAGTTCCTGAGAATTCTTCTGTCTTGTTTTTATATAATGATATTTCCTTTTCCACCATAGGCCTCAAAGCTCGCCATTTGTCCACTTGAAGATTCTACAAAAAGAGGGCTTCAAACCTGCTCTATGAAAAGAAAGGCTCAACTCTGTTAGTTGAATGCACACATCACAAAGAAGTTCCTGAGAATGCTTCTGTCTAGTGTTTATGTGAAGATAATCCCGTTGCCAATGAAGGCCTCAAAGCAGTGCAAATATCCACTTGCAGATTCTACAAAAAGAGTGTTTCAAAAGTACTCTATGATAAGGTATGTCCAACCTTGTGATTTGAATGCACACATCATAAGAAGTTTCTGAGAATGCCTCTGTCTAGTTTTTAATGGGAAGATATTTCCTTTTCCACCATAGGCCTCAAAGCGCTCCAAATGTCCACTTGCAGATTCTAGAAAAAGAGTGTTTCAAACCTGCTCTATCAAAAGAAAAGTTCAAATCTGTCAGTTGAATGCACACAGTTCAAAAAAGTTTTTGAGAAAGCTTCTGTCTAGTGATTATGTGAAGATATTCCCGTTTCCAACAAAGGCCTCAAAGCGGTCCAAATGTTCACTTGCAGATTCTACAAAAAGAGTGTTTCAAAACTGCTCTATCAAAAGAAAGGTACAACTCTGTGAGTAGAATGCACACATCACAAAGTAGTTTCTGAGAATGCTTCTCTCTAGTTTATATGTGAGATATTTACTTTTCCACGATAGGCCTCAATGCTCTCCAAATGTCCACTTGCAGATTCTACAAAAAGAGTGTTTCAAACATGCTCTATGAAAAGAAAGTTTCAACTCTTGGGGTTGAATGCACACATCACAAAGAAGTTTCTGAGAATGCTTCTGCCTGTTTTTGTGTGAACATATTCCCGTTTCCAACAAAGGCCTCAAAGCGTTTCAAATATCCACTTGCATATTCTACAAAAAGAGTGTTTCAAAACTGCTCTATGAAAAGGTATCTTCAAATCTGTGAGTTGAATGCAAACATCGTAAAGAATTTTCTGAGAATTCTTCTCTCTTATTTTTATATGAAGATATAACCTTTTCCACCATAGGCCTCAAAGCTCTCCAAATGTCAACTTGCAGATTCTACAAAAAGAGTGTTTCAAAGCTGCTCTATGAAAAGAAAGGTTCAACTCTTTGAGTTTAATGCACACCTGAAAAAGAAGTTTTTGAGAATGCTTCTGTCTAGTGTTTATGTGAAGACATTCCCGTTTCCAACGAAGGCCTCATAGCGGTCCAAATATCCGCTTGCAGATTCTATAAAAAGAGTGTCTAAAAACTGCTCCAAGGAAAGGTATCTTCAACTCTGTGAGTTGAATGCAAACATCACAAAGACGTTTCTGAGAACGCTTCTGTCTAATTTTTGTGTGAAGATATTTCCTTTTCCACCATAGGACTCAAAGCTCTCCAAATATCCACTTGCAGATACTAAGAAAAGAATGTTTCAAACCTGCTCTATGAAAAGAGAGGTTCAACTCTGTGAGTTGAATGCACACACCACAAAGAAGTTTCTGAGAACGCTTCTCTCTAGTTTTTATGTGAAGATACTTCCTTTTCCACCATAGGCCTCAAAGCTCTCCAAATGTGCACTTCAGATTCTACAAAATGAATGTTTCAAACCTGCTCTATCAAAAGAAAGGTTCAACTCTGTGAGTTGAATGCACACATCACAAATAAGTTTATGAGAATGCTTCCGTCTAGTTTTTATGTGAAGATATATCCTTTTTCACCATAGGCCTCAAAGAGCTCCAAATATCCACTTGCAGATCCTGCAAAAAGAGTGTTTCAACCCTGCTCTATGAAAAGAAAGGTTCAACTCTGTGAGGTGAATGCATACATCAAAAGTAGTTTCTGAGAATGCTTCTGTCTAGTTTTTATGTGAAGATATTCCTGTTTCCAACGAAGGCCTCAAACAGTCCAAATATCCACTTGCAGATTATAAGAGAAGAGTGTTTCAAAATTGCTCTATGAAAAGGGAGGTTTAACTCTGTGAGTTGAATGCAAACATCACAGAGAAGTTTCTGAGAATGCTTCTGTCTAGTTTTTATTTATAGATATTTCCTTTTCCACCATAGGCCTCAAAGCTCTCCAACAGTCAACTTGCAGATTCTACAAAAAAAGTGTTTCAAACCTGCTCTATCAAAAGAAAGGTTCAATTCTGTGAGTGGAATGCACACATCACAAAGAAGTTTCTGAGAACGATTCTGTCTAGTGTTTATGTGAAGATATCTCCTTTTCCAATGAAGGCCTCAAAGTTGTTCAAATATCCACTTGCAGATTCTACAAAAAGAGTGTTTCAAACCTGCTCTATCAAAAGAAAGCTTCAACTCTGTGAGTTGAATGCACACATCACAAAGAAGTTTCTGAAATGCTTCTATCTAGTGTTTATTTGAAGATATTCCCGTTTCCAACGAAGGCTTCAAAGCATTCCAAATATCCACTTGCAGATTCTGCAAAAAGAGTGCTTCAAAACTGCTCTATGAAGAGGTATGTTCAACCCTGTGATTTGAAAGCAAACATCACAAAGTAGTTCCTAAGAATTATTCTGTCTGGTTTTTATATAATGATATTTCCTTTTCCATCATAGGCCTCAAAGCTTGCCATATGTCCACTTGAAGATTCTGCAAAAAGACGGTTTCAAACCTGCTCTATGAAAAGAAAGGTTCAACTCTGTGAGTTGAATGCACACATCACAAAGGAGTTGTTGAGAATGCTTCTGTCTAGTGTTTATGTGAAGATAATCCCGTTGCCAAGGAAGGCCTCAAAGCAGTGCAAATATCCACTCTCAGATTCTACTAAAAGAGTGTTTCAAAAGTGCTCTATGATAAGGTATGTTCAACTCTGTAAATTGAATGCACACATCATAAGAACTTTCTGAGAATGCTTCTGTCTGGTTTTTATGGGAAGATATTTCCTTTTCCACCATAGGCCTCAAAGCACTCCAAATGTCCACTTGTAGATTCTGGAAAAAGAGTGTTTCAAACCTGCTCCATCAAAAGAAAGGTACAACTCCGTGAGTTGAATGCACACAGTACAAAAAAGTTTTTGAGAAAGCTTCTATCTAGTGATTATGTGAAGATATTCCCGTTTCCAATGAAGGCCTCAAAGCGGTCCAAATATTCACTTGCAGATTCTACAAAAAGAGTGTTTCAACACTGCTCTATCAAAAGGTATGTTCAACTGTATGAGTTGAATGCAAACATCACAATGTAGTTCCTTAGAATTCTTCTGTCTGGTTTTTATTTAAAGATATTTCCTTTTCCACCATAGGCCTCATAGCTCTAAAAATGTCCGGTGCCGATTCTACAAAAAGAGTGTTTCAAACATGCTCTATCAAAAGAAAGTTTCAACTCTTTGAGTTGAATGCACACATCACAAAGATGTTTCTGAGAATGCTTCTGCCCGTTTTTGTGTGAACATAATCCCGTTTCCAACGAAGGCCTCAAAGCGTTCCAAATATCCACTTGCAGAATCTAGGAAAAGAGTGTTTCAAAACTGTTCTATGAAAAGGTACGTTCAACTCTGAGTTGAATGCAAACATCACAAAGAAGTTTCTGAGAATTCTTCTCTCTAATTTTTATATGAAGATATAACCTTTTACACCATAGGCCTCAAAGCTCTCCAGATGTCCACTTGCAGATTCTACTAAAAGAGTATTTCAAAGCTACTCTATCAAAAGAAAGGTTCAACTCTTTGAGTTTAATGCACGCATGACAAAGAAGTTTTTGAGAATGCTTCTGTCTAGTGTTTATGAGAAGATATTTCCATTTCTAAAGAAGGCCTCATAGCAGTCCAATTATCCACTTGCAGATTCTACAAAAAGAGTGTCTCAAAACTGCTCCATGGAAAGGTATCTTCAACTTTGTGAGTTGAATGCAAACACCACAAAGACGTTTCTGAGAATGCTTCTGTCTAGTTTTTGTGTGAAGATATTTCCTTTTCCACCATAGGCCTCAAAGCTCTCCAAATGTCCATTTGCAGATTCTACAAAAAGAGTATTTCAAACCTGCTATATCAAAAGAAACCTTCAACTCTTTGTGTTGAATGAACACATCACAAAGTTGTTTCTGAGAATGCTTCTGTCTAGTTTTTATGAGAAAATAATTCCTTTTCCACCATAGGCCTCAAAGCTCTCCAAATGTCCACTTGCAGATTCTACAAAAAGAGTGTTTCAAACCTGCTCTATTAAAAGAAAGGTTCAAATCTTTATGTTGAATACACACATCACAAAGAAGTTTCTGAGAATGCATCTGTCTAGTTTTTATGTGAAGATATTCCCGTTTCCAATGAAGGCCTCAAAGCGGTCCAAATATCCACTTGCAGATTCTACTAAAAGAGTGCTTCAAAACTGCTCTATGACAAAGTATGTTCAACTCGGTGAGTTGAATGCACGCATGACAAAGAAGTTTTTGAGAATGCTTCTGTCTAGTGTTTATGAGAAGATATTTCCATTTCTAACGAAGGCCTCATAGCGGTCCAAATATCCACTTGCAGATTCTACAAAAAGAGTGTCTCAAAACTGCTCCATGGAAAGGTATCTTCAACTTTGTGAGTTGAATGCAAACACCACAAAGACGTTTCTGAGAATGCTTCTGTCTAGTTTTTGTGTGAAGATATTTCCTTTTCCACCATAGGCCTCAAAGCTCTCCAAATGTCCAATTGCAGATTCTACAAAAAGAGTGTTTCATACCTGCTCGATGAAATAAGGTTAACTCTGTGAGTTGAATGCACCCAGTACAAAGAAGTTTTTGAGAAAGCATCTGTCTAGTGATTATGTGAAGATAATGCCGTTTCCAACGAAGACCTCAAAGCGGTCCAAATATCCGCTTGCAGCTTCTACTACAAGAGTGTTTCAAAACTGCTCTATGATAAAGTATGTTCAACTCTGTGAGTTGAATGCAAACCTCACAAACTAGTTTCTGAGAATGCTTCTCTCTAGTTTTTATGTGAAGATATTCCCGTTTCCAACGAAGTCCTGAAAGCTATCCAAATATCCACTTGCAGCTTCTACATAAAGAGTGTTTCAAAACTGCTCCATGAAAAGTTATGTTCAACTCTGTGTGTTGAATGCAAACATCACAATGTAGTTTCTGAGAATGCTTCTGTCTACTTTTTATGTGATGATATTTCCTTTTGAACCGTAGGCTTCAAAGCTCTCAAAATGTCGAATTGCAGATCCTACAAAAAGAGTGTTTCAAACCTGCTCTATCAAAAGAATGGTTAAACTCTGTGAGTTGAAAGCACACATTACAAAGAAGAGTCTGAGAATCCTTCTGTCTACTGTTTATGTGAAGATATTCCCGTTTCCAACGAAAGCCTCAAAGCGGTCCAAATATCCACTTGCAGATTCTACAAAAAGAGTGTTTCAAAACTGCTCTAGGACAAGGTATGTTCAACTCTGTGTGTTGAATGCAACCACCCTAAAGAATTTTCTGAGAATACTTCTGTCTAGTTTTTATGTGAAGATATTCCCGTTTCCAATGAAGGCCTCAAAGCATTCCAAATATCCACTTGCAGATTCCACGAAGAGTGTTCCAAAACTGCTTTATTAAAAGGTATGTTCAACTCTTTGAGTTGAATGCAAACATCACAAAGATGTTTCTGAGCATTCTTCTGTCTAGTTTTTATATGATGATATTTCCTTTTCCACGACAAGCCTCAAAGCTCTCCAAATATGCACGTGCAGATTCTGCTAAAAGAGTGTTTCAAAGCTACTCTATGATAAGGTACGTTGAAATCTGTGAGTTGAAAACAAACATCAAAAGAAGTTTCCGAGAATGCTTCTATTTTTTATGTGAAGATATTCCCGTTTCCAACGAAGGCCTCAAAGCGGTAAAAATATCCACATGCAGATTCTACTAAAAGAGTGTTTCAAAACTGCTCTATCAAAATGTATGTTCGAATCTGTGAGTTGAATGCACGATCACAAAGAATTTTATGAGAATTCTTCTGCCTGCTTTTTATATAAAGATACTTCCTTTTCCACCATAGGCCTCAAAGCTCTCCAAAAGTTCACTTCAGATCCTCCAAAAAGATTGTTTCAAACCTGCTCTATCAAAAGAAAGGTTCAACTCTGTGAATTGAATACACACATCACAGAGAAGTTTCTGGGAATGCTTCTGTCTAGTGTTTATGTAAAGACATTCCCGTTTTCAATGAAGGCCTCAAAGCTGTCCTAATATCCATTTGCAGTTTCTTCAAAAAGATTGGTTCAAAACTGCTCTATCAAAGAAAGTTCAACTCTGTGAGTTGAATACAAATATCACAAAGAAGTTTCTGAGAATGCTTCTGTGTAGTTTTTACGTGAAGATATTTCCTTTTCCACCATAGGCCTCAAAACTCTCCAAATGTCCACTTGCAGACTCCACAAAAAGAGTGTTTCAAACCTGCTCTTTCAAAATAAAGGTTCAACTCCCTTACTTGAATGTCACAGCACAAAAAAGTTTCTGAGAAAGCTTCTGTCTAGTGATTATGTGAAGATACTCCCGTTTCCAACGAAGGCCGCAAAGCATTCCATCTATCCACTTGCAGATTTTACAAAAAGAGTGTTTCAAAACTGCTCTATCCAAAGAAACGTTCAACTCTCTGAGGTGAATGCACACATCACGAAGAAGTTTCTGAGAATGCTTCTGTGTAGTTTTTATGTGAAGATATTTCCTTTTCCACCATAGGCCTCAAAGTGCTCCAAATGCCCACGTGCAGATTCTAAAAAAAGAGTGTTTCAAATCTGTTCTATCAAAAGCAAGGTCCAAATCTGTGAGTTTAATGCACACATCAGAAAGAAGTTTGTGAGAATGCTTCTGTCTAGTTTTTATGTGAAGTTATTCCCGGTTTCCAACGAAGGCCTCACAGAGTTCCAAATATCAACTTGCACATTCTACAAAAAGAGAGTTTCTAAATTGCGCTATGAAGAGGTATTTTCAACTCTGTGAGTTGAATGCAAACATCACAAAGAAGTTTCTGAGAAAGCTACAGTCTAGTCTTTATGTGATGATATTACCTTTTCCACGATAGGAATCAAAGTGCTGCAAATGTCCACTTGCAGATTCTACAAAAAGAGTGTTTCAAACCTGCTCTATATAAAGAAAGTTTCAACTCTGTGAGTTGAACGCACACATTACAAAGAAGTTTCTGAGAATGCTTCTGTCTAGTTTCTATGTGAAGATATTTCCGTTTCCCACGTAAGCCTCAAAGCATTCCAAATATCCACTTGCAGATTCTATGAAAAGAGTGTTTCAAAACTGCTCTATGAAAAGATATGTTCAACTCTGTGAATTGAATGCAAACATCACAAAGATGTTTTGGAGAGTTTTTCTGTCTAGTTTTTATATGAAGATATTTCCTTTTCCACCACAGGCCTCAAATCTCTCCAAATGTCCACTTGCAGAATCTACAAAAAGAGTGTTTCAAACCTGCTCTGTCAAAAGAAAAGATCAACTCTGTGAGTTGAATGCACACATCAATAAGAAATTTCTGAGAATGCTTCTGTCTAGTGTTTATGTGAAGATATTCCTGTTTCCAACGAAGACCTCAAAGCGGTCCAAATATCCACTTGCAGATTCCACTAAAAGAGAGTTTCAAAACTGCTCCATGATAAGGTACGTTCAAATTTGCGAGTTGAATGCACACATCCGAAAGAAGTTTCTGAGAATGCTTCTGTCTAGTGTTTATGTCAAGATATTACAGTTTCCAAAGAAGGTCTCAAAGCCGTCCAAATATCCACATGCAGATTCTTCAAAAAGAGTGTTTCAAAACTGCTCTATCAAAAGAAAGGTTCAACTCACCGAGTTGAATGCACACAGTACGAAGAAGTTTCTGAGAATGCTTCTGTCTAGTGTTTATGTGAAGATATACCCCTTTCCAAAGAAGGCCTTAAAGTGGTCCAAATATCCACTTGCAGATTCTACAAAAGAGTGTTTCAAAACTGCTCTATAATAAAGCATGTTCAACTCTGTGAATTGAATGCATCCATCAAAAACAAGATTCTGAGAATGATTCTGTCTATTTTTTATGTGAAGATATTTCCTTTTCCACCATAGGCCTCAAAGCGCACCAAATGTCCACTTTTATATTCCACAAAAACAGTGTTTAACACCTTCTCCAGCAAAAGAAAGTTTCAACTCTGTGAGTTGAATGCACACATCACAAAGAAGTTTCTGAAATGCTTCTGTCTAGTTTTTATGTGAAGATATTCCCGTTTCTAACGAAGGCCTCAAAGCGGTCCAAATATCCACTTGCAGAATCTACGAAAAGTGTGTTTAAAAAATGCTCTATGAAAAGGAAGGTACACCTCTGTGAGTTGAATGCACACATCTCAAAGACGTTTCTGAGAATGCTTCTGTCTAGTTTTTATGTGATGACATTTCCTTTCCCACCGTAGGCCTCAAATTTCTTCAAACGTCCACTTCCAGATTCTACAAAATGAGTGTTTCAAACGTGCTTTATCTAAAGGAAGGTTGAACTCTGTGAGTTGAATGCACACATCACAAATTAGTTTCTGAGAATGCTTCTGTCTAGTGTTTAAGTGAAAATACTCTCGTTTCCAACGAAGGCCTCAAAGCGGTCCAAATATCCACATGCAGATTCTATGAAAAAAGTGTTTCAAACCTGCTCTATCAAAAGAAAGGTTCTACTCTCTGAGCTGAATGCACACAGCACAAAGAAGTTTCTGAGAAAGCTTCTGTCTAGTGATTATGTGAAGATATTCCCATTTCCAATGAAGGCCTCAAAGTGGTCCAAATATCCACTTGCAGATTCCACAAAAAGAGTGTTTCAAACCTCCTCTATCAAAAGCAAGGTTCAATTCTGTGAGTTGAAAGCACACATCACCAAGAAGTTTCTGAGAATGCTTCTCTGTAGCTTTTATGTGAAGATATTTCCTTTTTGACCATAGGCCTCAAAGCTCTCCAAATATCCAATTGCAGATTTTACAAAAAGAGTTTGTCAAAACTGCTCCATCAAAAGCAACGTTCAACTCTGTGAGTTGAATGCACACATCACAAAGAACTTTCTGAGAATGCTTCTGTCTAGTGTTTATGTGAAGATATTCCCGTTTCCAATGTTGGTCTCAAAACACTCCAAATATCCTCTTGCAAATTCTAGTAAAAGAGTCTTTCAAAACTGTTCTATTATAAGGTATGTTCAACTCTGTGAGTTGAATGCAAAGATCACGAACAAGTCTCTGAGAATGCTTCTGTCTAGTTTTTATTTGATGATATTTCCTTTTCCACGGTAGGCCACAAAGCTCTCCAAATATCCACTTGCAAATTCTACAAAAAGAGTGTTTCAAACCTGGTCTATCAAAAGAAAGGTTCAACTCTGTGAGTTGAATGCACACATCACAAAGAAGTTCCTGAGAATGCTTCTGTCTAGTTTTTATGTGAAGATATTCCCGTTTCCAACGAAGGCCTCAAAGGGGTCCAAATATCCACTTGCTGATTCTACTCAAAGAGTGTTTCAAAACTGCTCTATGATAAAGTGTGTTCAACTCTGTAAGGCAAACGCAAACATCACAAAGAAGTTTCTGAGAATCCTTCTATTTTTTATTGGAAGATATTTCCTTTTCCACCATAGGCCTCAAATCTCTCCAAATGTCCACTTGCAGGTTCTACAAAAAGAGTGTTTCAAACCTGCTCTATCAAAAGAAAAGTTCAACTCTGTGAGTTGAATGCACACATCACAAAGAAGTTTCTCAGAATGCTTCTGTCTAGTGTTTATGTGAAGATACTCCCATTTTCAAAGAAGGCCTCAATGCAGTCCAAATATCCACTTGCAGATTCCACTAAAAGAGGGTTTCAGAACTACTCTATGATAAGGTATGTTCAACTCTGTGACTTGAATGCACACATCACAAAGAAGTTTCTGAGAATGCTTCTGTCTAATGTTTATGTGAAGTTATACCCGTTTCCAATGAAGTCCTCAAAGCAGTCCAAATATCCACTTGCAGATACTATGAAAAGAGTGTTTCAAAACTGGTCTATGAAAATGAAAGTTCAACTCTGTGAGTTTAATGCAAACATCATAAAGAAGTTTCTGAGTATGCTTCTGTCTAGTTTTGATATGAAGATATTTCCTTTCCCACCATAGTCCTCAAAGCTCTCCAAATGTCCACTTGCAGATTCTACAAAATGAGTGTTTCAAACGTGCTCTATCTAATAAACGTTCAACTCTGTGAGTTGAATGCACACATCACAAAGAAGTTTCTGAGAATGCTTCTGTCGAGTGTTTATGTGAAGATGTTCCCATTTCCAACGAAGGCCTCAAAGCGGTACAAATATCCACTTCCATATTCTACAAAAAGAGTGTTTCAAAACTGCTCAATCATGAGATAAACTCATCCCTGTGAGATGAATTCACACGTCACGAAGTAGTTTCTCAGAATGCTTCTGTGTAATTTTCATGTGAGGATATTTGCTTTTCCACAGTAGACCTCAAAGGGCTCCAAATATCCACCTGCAGATTCTGCAAAAAGAGAGATTCAAAACTGCTCAATCAAAAGATACTTTCGACTCTGTGAGTTGAATGCACACATCACAAAGAAGTGTGTCTGAATGCTTCTGTGTAGTTTTTATTTCAAGATATTTCCTTTTCCACTGCAGGGCTGAAAGGGCTCCAAATATCCACTTGCAGATTCTACAAAAAGAGAGATTCAAAACTGCTCAATGATAAGATAAGATCAACTCTGTGAGTTGAATGCACACCTCACAAAGAAGTTTCTCAGAATGATTCTGTGTAGTTTTTATGTGAAGATATTTCCTTTTCCACAATAGTCCTCAAAGCTCTCCAAACATCCACTTACAGATCCTGAAAAAAGAGAGATTCAAAACTGCTCAATCGAAAGATAGGTTCAACTCTGTGAGTTGAATGCACACATCACAAAGAAGTTTCTCAGAATGCTTCTGTTTAGTTTTTATGTGAACATATTTGATTTTCCACAGTAGGCCTCACGACGCTCCAAACATCCACTTGCAGATTGTGCAAAAAGAGAGATTCAAAACTGTTCAATCAAAAGATAGGTTCAACTCTGTGAGTTGAATGCATACATCATGAAGAAGTTTCTGAGAATGCTTCTGTATAGTTTTTATTTGAAGTTATTTCCTTTTCCACAGTAGGCCTCGATGGTCTCCAAATATCCACCTGCAGATTCTGCATAAAGAGAGATTCAAAACTGCTCAAACAAAAGATAAGTTCACCTCTGTGAGTTGAATGCACACATCACAAAGCAGTTTCTCTGAATGCTTCTATGTAGTTTTTATTTGAAGATATTTCCTTTTCCACCATAGGGCACAAAGGGCTCCTAATATCCACTTGCAGATTCTACAAAAAGAGAGATTCAAAACTGCTTAATCAAAAGATAGGTTCAACTCTCTGAGTTGAATGCACACATCACAAAGAAGTTTCTCAGAATCTTTCTGTATAGTTTTTATGTGAACATATTTGATTTTCCACAGCAGGCCTCAAAAGGCTCCAAATATCCACCTACAGATTCTGCAAAAAGAGGTATTCAAAACTGCTCAATCAAAAGATAGGTTCAACTCTGTGAGTTGAATGCATACATCAGAAAGAAGTTTCTCTGGATGGTTCTGTGTAGTTCTATTTGAAGATAATTCCTTTTCCATGATAGGGCACAAAGGGCTCTAAATATCCACTTGCAGAATCTACAAAAACAGAGATTCAAAACTGCTCATTGAGAAGATAAGTTCAACTCAGTGAGTTGACTGTACACATCACGAAGAAGTTTCTTAGAATGCTTCTGTGTAGTTTTTATTGAAGATATTTCCTTTTCCACCATAGGGCGCAAAGGGCTCCAAATATCCACTTGTAGATTATAGAAAAAGAGAGACTCTAAACTGCTCAATCAAAAGATAGGTTCAACTTTGTGAGTTGAATGCCCACATCACAAAGAAGTTTCTCAGAATGCTTCTGAGTAGTTTTTATGTGAAGATGTTTCCTTTTCCACAATAGGCGGCAAAGTTCTCCAAATATCCACTTGCAGATTCTACAAAAACGGTGTTTCAAAACTGCGCAATGAAAAGAAAGGTTCAACTCAGTGAGATGAATGCACACATCACAAAGAAGTTTCTCAGAATGCTTCTGTGTAGTTCTTATTTGAAGATATTTAGTTTTCCACTGTAGGCCTCAAAGCGCTCCAAATATCCACTTGAAGATCCTACAAAAAGAGTATTTCAAAACTGCTCAATCATAAGCTAGGTTCAACCCTGTGAGATGAATGCACACATCACAAAGCAGTTTCTCTGAGTGATTCTGTGTAGTTTTTATTTGAAGATATTTCCTTTTCCACCATAGGGCGCAAAGGGCTCCAAATATCCACTTGGAGATTCTACCAAAAGATAAATTCAAAACTGCTCAATGAGAAGATAAGTTCAACTCTGTGAGTTGAATGCACACCTCACAAAGTAGTTTCTCACAATGCTTCTGCATAGTTTTTATGTGAAGATATTTGCTTTTCCACTGTAGGCCTCAAAGGGCTCGAAATATCCACCTTCAGATTGTGCATAAAGAGAGATTCAAAACTGCTCAATCAAAAGATAGGTTCAACTCTGTGAGTTGAATGCACATATCACAAAGAAGTTTCTCTGAATGCTTCTGTGTAGTTTTTATTTCAAGATATTTCCTTTTCCACCATAGGGTGCAAAGATCTTCAAATATCCACTTGCAGATTCTACAAAAAGAGAGATTGGAAACTCCTCAAAGAGAAGATAATTTCAACTCTGTGAGTTGAATGCACACCTCACAAAGTAGTTTCTCAGAATGCTTCTGTGTAGTTTTTATGTGAAGATATTTCCTTTTCCACAATAGGCCTCAAAGCTTTCCAAACATACACTTGTAGTTTCTGCAGAAAGAGAGATTCAAAACTGCTCAATCAAAACATAGTTTCAACTCTGTGAGTTGAATGCAAACATCACAATGGTGTTTCTCAGAATGCTTCTGAGTAGTTTTTATGTGAAGATATTTCCTTTTCCACAGTAGGCCTCAAAGGGCTCCAAATATCCAATTGCAGATTTCACGAAGAGAGTGTTTCAAAACTGCTCAATCAAAAGAAAGTTTCAACTCTGTGAGATGAATGCACACATCACAAAGGAGTTTCTCAGATTGCTTCCTTCTAGATTTTATGTGAAGATATTTCCTTTTCTATCATAGGCCGCAAAGCGCTCCAAATGTCCACTTGCCGATTCTACAAAAAGGGTGTTCCCAAACTACGCAATCAAAAGAAAGGTTCAACTCTGTTAGATGAACGTACACATCATAAAAAAGATTCTCAGAATTCTTCTGTTTTTTTTTTGTGAACATATTTCCTTTTCCAACTTAAGCCTCAAGGTGCTTGAAATGTCCCCTTGCAGATTCTCCAAAAAGAGAATTTGAAAACTGGTTCTCCTAAAGAAAGTTGGAACTCCAGGAGATGAATGCAGACATCACAGAGAACTTTCTCAGAATGCTTCTATCTACTTTTTATGTGAAGATATTTCCTTCTCCACCACAGGCCTCAAAGCGCTGCCAAATGTCCACTTGCAGGTTCTACAAAAAGAGAGTTTCCAATCTGCTCAATCAAAAGAAAGGTTTAACTCTGTGAGATTAATGCACGCATCACAAAGAAGTTTCTCAGATTGCTTCTGTCTAGATTTTATGTGAAGATATTTCCTTTTCTACCATTGGCCGCAAAGAGTTCCAAATGTCCACTTGCAGATTCTACAAAAAAAGAGTGTTTCCAAACTACTCAATCAAAAGAAATGTTCAACTCTGTGAGATGAACACACTCATCACAAAGAAGTTTCTCAGAATTCTTCTGTCTAATTTTTATGTGAAGATATTTCCTGTTCCATCATAGGCCTCAAGACGCTCTAAATGTCCGCTTGCAGATTCTACAAAAAGAGAGTTTCAAAACTGCTCAATCAAAAGAAAGGGTTATCTCTGTGAGATGAATGCATATATCACAAACAAGTTTCTCATATTGCTTCTGTGTAGATTTTATGTGAAGATATTTACTTTTCTACCATAGACCGCAAAGCTCTCCAAATGCCCACCTGCAGACTCTACAAGAAAGAGTGGTACCAAACTGCTCAATCAAAAGAACGGTTCCACTCTGTGAGAAGAACGCACACATCACAAAGAAGTTTGTCAGAATTCTTCTTTCTAGTTTTTATGTGAAGATATTTCCTTTTCCACCATAGGCCTCAAAGCGTTCCAAATGTCCACTTGCAGATTCTACAAAAAGAGAGTTTCAAAACTGCTGAATCAAAAGAAAGTTTAAACTCTGTGAGATGAATGCACCCATCACTAAGAAGTTTCTCCGATTGCTTCTCTCTAGATTTTATGTGAAGGTGTTACTTTTTCTACCATAGGTCGCAAAGCGCTTCAAATGTCCATATGCAGATTCTACAAAAAAGAGTGGTTCCAAACTCCTCAATCAAAAGAAAGGTTCAAGTCTGTGAGATGAACGCACACATTCCCAAGAAGTTTGTCAGAATTCTTCTGTCTAGTTTTTATGTGAAGATATTACCTTTTCCACCACAGGCCTCAAAGCGCTCCAAATGTCCACTTGCAGATTCTATGAAAAGAGAATTTCAAAACCGCTCAATCAAAAGAAAGGTTTAACTCTGTGAGATGAATGCACACATCACAAAGAAGTTTCTCAGATTGTTTCTGTCTAGGTTTTATGTGAAGATATTTCTGTTTCAACCATAGGCCGCAAAGCATTGCAAATGTCCACTTGCAGATTCTACAAAAAGAGTTTCCAAACTGCTCAATCAAAAGAAAATTTCAGCTTTGTGAGATGAACGCACACATCGCAAAGAAGATTATCAGAATTCTTCTGTCTAGTTTTTATGTGAAGATATTTCCTTTTCCACCATAGGCCTCTAAGCGCTCCAAATGTCCACTTCGAGATTCTACAAAAAGAGTGTTTCCAAACTGCTCAATCAAAAAAAAGGTTTAACTCTGTGAGATAAATGCACACATCACAAAGAAGTTTCTCAGATGGCTTCTGTCTAGATTTTATGTGACGATATTTCCTTTTCTACCATATGCCACAAAGTTCTCCAAATGTCCACTTGCATATTCTACAGAAAGAGTGTTTCCCAACGGTTCAATCAAAAGATAGGTTCAAATCTGTGAGATGAATGCACACGTCCCAAAGAAGTTTCTCAGAATTCTTCTGTCTAGTTTTTATGTGCAGATATTTCCTTTTCCACTGTTGGCCTCAAAGAGCTCCAAATATCCACTTGCGGATTCTACAAAAAGAGAGCTTCAAGACTGCTCAATCAAAAGAAAAGTTTAACTCCATGAGATGAATGCACACATCACAAAGAAGTTTATCAGATTGCTTCAGTCTAGACTTTATGTGAAGATATTTCCTTTTCTACTACAGGCCACAAAGCGCTCCGAATGTGCACTTGCAGATTCTACAAAAGAGGGTTTCCAACCTGCTGTATCAAAATAAAGTTTCAACTATGAGAGATGAAAGCACGCATCACAAAGAAGTTTTTCAGAATTCTTCTGTCTAGTTTTTATGTGAAGAGATTTCCTTTTCTACCACAGGCCTAAAAGGGCTCCAAATGTCCACTTGCAGATACTACAAAAAGAGAGTTTCAAAACTGCTCAATAAAAAGAAAGGTTTAACTCTGTGAGATGAATGAACACATCACAAAGAAGTTTGTCAGATTGCTTCTGTCTAGATTTTATGTGAAGATATTTCATTTTCTACCATAGGCCGCAAAGCGCTAAAATTGTCCACATGTAGATTCTGCAAAAAGAGTGTTTCCAAACAGCCCAATGAAAAGAAACTTTCAACTCTGTGTGATGAACGCACGCATCACAAAGTGATTTCACAGTATTCTTCTGTCTAGTTTTTATGTGAAGATATTTCCTTTTCCACCACAGTTCTCAAAGAGCTTCAAATGTCGACTTGCAGATTGTTCAAAAAGTGTTTCCAAACTGCTCGATCAAAAAAAGTTTAACTCTGTAAGATGAACGCACACGTCACATAGATGTTTCTCAGTTTTCTTCTGTCTAGTTTTTATGTGAATGTATTTCATTTTCCACAGTAGGCCTCAAGGGGCTTGAAATGTCCACTTGCAGATTCCACAAAAAGAGTAATAAATAACTGGACCATCAAAAGAAAGATTCAAATCTGGGAGATGAACGCACATATCACAAAGTAGTTTCTCATATTGATTCTATCTAGTTTTTATGTGAATATATTTCCTTTTCCACCGTAGGTCTCAAACCGCTCCAAACGTTCACTTGCAGAATCTACAAAAAGAGAGTTTCAAAACTGCTCAATCAAAAGAAAGGTTTAACTTTGTGAGATGAGCGCGCACATCACAAAGAAGTTTCCCAGATTGCTTCTGTGTAGATTTTGCGTCAAGATATTTCCTTTTCTACCATTGGCTCCAAAGTGCTACAAATGTCCACTTGCAGATTCTACAAAAACAGTGTTTTCAAACGGCTCAATAAAAAGAAAAGTTCAACTCTGTGAGATGAACGCACACATCACAAAGAAGTTTCTCAGAATTCTTCTGTCTAGTTCTTATGTGAAGATATTTCCTTTTCCACCATTGAACTCAAAGCACTGCAAATGTCCACTTGCAGATCCTACAAAAAGAGAGTTTCCAAACTGCTCAATCAAAAGAAAATTTTAACTCTGTGAGATGAATGTACACAACACACAGAAGTTTCTGAGATTGCTTCTGTCTAGATTTTATGTGAAGATATTTCCTGTTCTTCCATAGGCCACAAAGCCCTCCAAATGTCCACTTGCAGATTCGACAAAAAGAGTGGTTGCAAACTGCTTAATCAAAAGAAAGGTTCAAATCTGTGAGATTAATGCACGCATCACAAAGAAGTTTCTCAGAATTCTTCTGTCTGGTTTTTATGGGAAGATATTTCCTTTTCCACCATTGGACTCAAAGGGCTCCAAAAGTCCACTTGCAGATTTTACAAAAACAGAGTTTCAATACTCCTCAATCAAAAGAAAGTTTTAACTCTCTGGGATGAATGCACATATCACAAAGATGCTTCTCAGATTGCTTCTGTCAAGATTTTATATGAAGATATTTCCTTTTCTACCATAGGGCACAAAGCACTCCAAATGTCCAGTTGCAGATTCTACAAAAAGAGAGTTTCAAAACTGCTAAATCAAAAGAAACTTTTAATTCTGTGGGATGAATGCACACATCACAAAGAAGTTTCTCAGATTGCTTCTGTCTAGACTTTATGTGAAGATATTTCCTTTTCTACCATTGGCCGCAAAGCTCTCCAAATGTCCACTTGCAGATTCTACAAAAAGAGTGTTTCCAAACTGCTCAATCTAAGGAAAGTTTCAACTCTGTGAGATGAACGCAGACATCTCAAAGAAGTTTCTCAGAATTCTTCTGTCTAGTTTTTATATGAAGATATTAACTTTTCCACCACATGCATCAAATCGCTCCAAATGTCCACTTGCAGATTCTACAAAAAGAGAGTTTCAAATCTGCTCTATCAAAAGAAAGCTTTACCTCTTTGAGATGAATGCACACATCACAAAGAAGTTTCACAGATTGCTTCTGTCTACAATTTATGTGAAGATATTTCCTGTTGTAACATAGGCCTCAGAGCGCTCCAAATGTCCACTTGCAGATTCTACCAAAAGAGTGTTTCCAAACTGCTCATTCAAAGAAATGTTCAACTTTCTAGATGAATGCGCACATCATAAAGAACTTTCTCAGAATTCTTCTTTCTAGTTTTTATGTGAAGATATTTCCTTTCGTACCGTAGACCCGAAGGCACTCAAAATGTCCACTTGCAGATTCTACAAAAAGAGTATTTCAAAACTGGTCCCTCAAAGGAATGTTCAAATCTGGGGGTTGAATGCACACATCACAAAGTAGTTTCTCAGAATGCTTCTATGTACTTTTTATGTGAAGATATTTCATTTTTCACCATAGGCCTGAACGCCCTTCAAATGTCCATTTAGAGATTATACAAAAAGGGAGTTTTAAAACTGCTCTATCAAAAGAAAGGTTTCAATCCGTTAGATGAATGCACACATCACAAAGATGTTTCTAAAAATGCTTCTATTTATTTTTTATGTGAAGATATTTCCTTTTCCACCGTAGGCCTCAAAGCGCTCCAAATGTCCACTTGCAGATTCCACAAAAAGAGAGTTTCAAGACTGCTCAATCAAAAGAAACGTTTAACTCTGTGAGATGAATGCACACATCATAAAGAAGGTTTTCAGATTACTTCTGTCTACATCTTATGTGAAGATATTTCCTTTTCCACCATAGGCTGCAAACAGCTCCAAAGGTCCACTTGCAGATTCTTCAAAAAGAGTGTTTCCAAACTGCTCCATCAAAAGAAATGTTCAACTTCGTGAGCTGAATGCACACATCCAAAGAAGTTTGTCATAATTCTTCTGTCTAGTTTGTATTTGAAGATAATTCCTTTTCCACCATAGGCCTCAAAGCCTTCAAAATGTCCACTTGCAGATTCTACAAAAAGAGAGTTTCCAAAGTGCTCAGTCAAAAGAAAGGTTTACTTTGTGAGATGAATGCACACACCACAAAGAAGTTTTTCAGATTGCTTTTATCTAGATTTTATGTGAAGATATTTTCTTTTCTACCATAGGCCACAAAGCGCTCCAAATGTCCAGTTGCAAATTCTACAAAAAGAGTCTTTCCAAACTGCTCAATCAAAAGTAAAGTTCAACCCTGTCATATGAACACACACATCACAAAGTAGTTTCTCAGAATTCTGCTGTCTAGTTTTTATGTGAAGATATTTCCTTTTCCATCATAGGCCTCATGGCGCTCCAAATGTCCACTTGCAGATTTTACAAAAAGGGAGTTTCAAGACAGCTCCATCAAAAGAAAGTTTTAACTCTGTGAGATGCATGCACACATCACAAAGAAGTTTTTCAGATTGCTTCTGTCTAGATTTTATTTTAATATATATCCTTTTCTAACGTAGGCGACAAAGTGCTCCAAATGTCCACTTGCAGATTCTACAAAAAGAGTGATTCCAAACTGCTTAATCAAAAGAAAGGTTCAACTCTGTGAGATGAATGCACACATCACAAAGAAGTTTCTCAGAATTATTCTGTCTAGTTTTTATCTGAAGATGTTTCCTTTTACACCATAGGCCTCAAAGCGCTCCAAATGTACACTGGCAGATTCTACAAAAAGAGAGTTTCAAAACTGCTTAATCAAAATAAATGTTTAACTCTGTGAGATGAATGCACACATCATAAAGAAGTTTGTCAGACTGCTTTTATCTAGATTTTCTGTGAAGATATTTCCTTTTCTACCAGAGGTCGCAAAGCGCTCCAAATGACCGCTTGCAGATTCTACAAAAAGAGTGCTTCCAAACTGCTCAATCTAAAGAAAGGTTCAACTCTGTGAGATGTAAGCACACATCACAAAGAAGTTTCTCAGAATTTTTCTGTCTAGTTTCTATGTGAAAATATTTACTTTTCCACCATAGGCCTCAAAGCGCTCCAAATGTCCACTTGCAGATTTTACAATAAGAGAGTTTCAAGACAGCTCAATCAAAAGAAAGTTTTAACTCTGTGAGATGAATGCACACATCACAAAGAAGTTTCTCAGATTCATATTATCTAGATTTTATGGTAATATATTTCCTTTTCTAACATAGGCTGCAAAGCGCTCCAAATGTCCACTTGCAGATTCCACAAAAAGAGTGTTTCCAAACTGCTCAATCAAAAGAAAGGTTCAACTCTGTGAGATAAACGCATGCATCACAAAGAAGCTTCTCCGAATTCTTCTGTGTAGTTTTGATGTCAAAATATTTCCTTTTCCTCCACAGGCCTCAAAGCGCTCCAAATGTTAACTTGCAGATTCTACAAAAAGATTCAAAACTGCTCAATCAAAACAAAGGCTTAACTCTGTGAGATCAGTGCACACATCACAAAGAAGTTTCTAAGAGTGCTTCTGTCTAGTTTCTATGTGAAGATATTTCCTTTTCCACCATAAGCCTCAAAGCGCTCCAAATGTCCACTTCCACATTCAACAAAAAGAGAGTTTCAAAACTGCTCAATCAAAAGTAAGAGTTAACCCTGTGAGATGAATGCACACATCCCAAGGAAGTTTCTCACATTGCTTCTGTCTAGATTTTATGTGAGGATATTTCCTTTTCTAACTTAGGCTGCAAAGCGCTTCAAATGCCCACTTACAGAATCTACAAAAAGAGTGCTTCCATAATTCTCAATCAAAAGAAAGGTTCAACTCTGTGAGATGAACGCACACATCACAAAGAAGTTTCTCAGAATTCTTGTCTCTAGTTTTTATGTGAAGATATTTCCTTTTCCACCATAGGCCTAAAAGCACTCCAAATGTTCACTTGCAGATTCTACAAAAAAAAGAGTTTCAAAACTGCTCAATCAAAAGAATGCTTTAACTCTGTGAGATGAATGCACACATCACAAAGAGGTTTCTCACATTGGTTCTGTCTAGATTTTATGTGAAGATATTTCCTTTTATAACAGAGGCAACAAAGCACTCCAATAGTCCACTTGCAGATTCTACAAAAAGAGTGTCTGCAAACTGCTCAATCAAAAGGAAGTTTTAACTCTGTGAGAAGAACGTGCACATCACAAAGAAGTTTCTCAAAATTCTTCTGTCTAGTTTTTATGTGAAGATATTTCCTTTCCCACTGTAGGCCTCAAAGCACTCAAAATGTCCACTTGCAGATTCTACAAAAAGAGAGCTTCAAAACTACTCAACCAAAAGAAAGGTTTAACTCTCTGAGATGAATGCACACATCACAAAGAAGTTTCTGAGATTGCTTCTGTCTAGATTTTATGTGAAGATATTTCCTTTTCTACCATAGGCAACAAAGCACTCCAATAGTCCACTTGCAGATTCTACAAAAAGAATGTTTCTAAACTGCTCAATCAAAAGGAAGGTTCAACTTTGTGAGATAAACGCATACATCACAAAGGAGATTCTCAGAATTCTTCTGTCAAGTTTTTATGTGAAGATATTTCCTTTTCCACCATAGGCCTCAAAATGATCCAAATGTCCACTTGCAAATTCTACAAAAACAGAGTTTCAAAACTGCTCAGTCAAAAGAAAGTTTGAACTCTGTGAGATGAATGCACACATGCCAAAGAAGTTTCTCAGATTCCTTCTGTCTAGATTTTTTTGAAGATATTACCTTTTCTACCATAGTCCTCATAGCGCTGCAAATGTCCACTTGCAGAATCTCCAAAAAGAGTGTTTCCAAACTGCTGAATCAAAATAAACTTTCAACTATTTGAGTTGAAGGCACACATCACAAAGAAGATTCTGAGAATACTTCTGTCTAGTTTTTATGTGAAGATATTTCCTTTTCCACTATATGCCCAAAAGCGCTCCAAATGTCCACTTGCAGATTCTACAAAAAGAGTGTTTCAAACCTGCTCTATCAAAAGAAAGGTTCAACTCAGTGAGTTGAATGCAAACATCACAAAGAAGTTTCTGAAAATGGTTCTGTCTAGTTCTTATGTGAAGATACTTCCTTTTCCAACATAGGTCTCAAAGGGATCCGAATGTCCAATGCAGATTCTGCAAAAACAGTGTTTCAAACCTGCTCTATCAAAAGAAAGGTTCAACTCTGTGAGTTGGATGCATACATCACCATCACAAAGAAGTTTCTGAGAATGCTTCTGTCTAGTTTTTATGTGAAGATATTTCCTTTTCCACCATAGGCCTCAAAGCGCTCAGAATGTTCACTTGCAGATACTACAAAAAGAGTGTTTGAAACCTGTTCTATCAAAAGAAAGGTTCAACTCTGTGAGTTGAATGTACATAGACAAAGAAGTTTCGGAGAAAACTTCTGTCTAATGTTTATGTGAAGATATTCCCGTTTCCAACGAATGCCTCAACGCATTCCAAATATCCACTTACGGATTCTACAAAAAGAGTGTTTCAAAACTGTTCCATAAAAAGAAAGTTTCAACTCTATGAGTTGAATGTACACATCACAAGAAGTTTCTGAGGATGCTGCTGTCAGTTTTTATGTGAAGATATTCCCATTTCCAACGAAGGCTTCAAAGCGATCCAAATATCCACTTGCAGATCCTACTAAAAGAGTGTTTCAAAACTACTCTATCATAAGGTATGTTCAACTCCATGAGTTGAAGGCAAACATCACAAAGAAGTTTCTGAGAATGCTTCTCTCTAGTTTTTGTGGGAAGATATTTGTTTTTCCACCATAGGCCTCAAAGCGCTCCAAATGTCCACTTGCAGATTCTACAAAAAAAGTGTTTCAAATCTGCCCTGTCAAAAGAAAGGATCAACTCTGTGAGTTGAATGCGCACAGAAAAAAGAAGTTTCAGAGAAACTTCTATCTAGTGATTATGTGAAGATATTCCCATTTCCAACGAAGGCCTCAAAGCGGTCCAAATATCCACTTGCAGATTCTACTAAAAGAGTGTTTCAAAACTGCTCTATTATAAAGTATGTTCAAGTCTCTGAGTTGAATGCAAACAGCACACAGAAGTTTCTGAGAATGCTTCTGTCTAGTTTTTATGGGAAGATATTTGTTTTTCCACCATAGCCTTCAAATCTCTCCAAATGTCCACTTGCAGATTCTGCAAAAAGAGTGTTTCAAACATGCTCTATCAAAAGAAAAGTTTAACTCTGTGAGTTGAATGCACACATCACAAAGATGTTTCTAAGAATGCTTCTGTCTAATTTTTATGTGAAGATATTTCCTTTTCCACCACAGGCCCAAAAGTCCTCCAAATGTCCACTTGCAGATTCCACAAAAAGAGAGTTTCTAAACTGCTCTATCAAAAGAAACGTTTAACTCTGTGAGATGAATGCACACATCACAAAGAAGTATCTCAGACTGCTTCTGTCTAGATATTATGTAAAGATGTTTCCTTTTCTACCATAGGACACAAAGCACTCCAAATGTCCCCTTGCAGATTCTGGAAAAAGAGTGTTTCCTAACTGCTCAATCAAAAGAAAGTTTCAACTCTGTGAGATGAATGCACACATCACCAAGAAGTTTCTCGGAATTCTTCTGTCTAGTTTTTATGTGAAGATATTTCCTTTTCCACTATAGGCCTCAAAGCACTTCAAATATCCACTTGCAGTTTCTACAAAAAGAGAGTTTCAAAACTGCTCATTCAAAAGAAAGGTTTAACTCTCTGAGATGAATGCAGACATAACAAAGATGTTTCTCAGACTGATTCTGCCTAGATTTTATGTGAAGGTATTTCCTTTTCTACCATAGGCCGCAAAGCTCTTCAAATGTCCAATTGCAGCTTCTAAAAAAAGGGTGTTTCCAAACTGCTCAGTCAAAAGAAATGTTCAATTCTGTGAAATGAATGCAGGCATCACAAAGAAGTTTCTCAGATAGCTGCTGTCTAGATTTTATGTGAAGAAACTTCCTTTTCTACCACAGGCAGTGAAGCCCTCCAAATGTCCACTTGAAGATTCTTCAAAAAGAGAGTTTCAAAACTGCTCAATCAAAAGAAATGTTTAACTCTGAGAGATGAACACACACATCACAAAGAAGTTTCTCAGAATGCTTTTGTCCAGTTATTATATAAAGATATTTCGTTAACCACCATATGCCTCAAAACACTTCAAATGTCCACTTGCAGATTTTACAAAAGAGAGTTTCAAAACTGCTCTATGAAAAGAAAGATTCAACTCTGTGAGATGAATGCACACATCACAAAGAAGTTTGTCAGGTTTCTTCTGTCTAGATTTTATGTGAAGATATTTCCTTGTCTACCATAGCTCACAAAGCGTTCCAAATGTCCACTTGCAGATTCTACAAAAAGAGTGTTCCCAAACCGCTCAATCAAAAGTAAGGTTCAATTCTGTGAGATGAACGCACACATCACAAAGGAGTTTCTCAGAATTCTTCCGTCTAGTTTTTATGTGAAGATATTTCCTTTTCCACCACAGGCCTCAAAGCGCTCCAAATGTCCACTTGCAGTTTGTACAAAAAGGGAGACTCAAAATTGCTCCATTAAAAGGAATGTTTTACTCTGTGAGATGAATGCACACATCACAAAGATGTTTCTCAGATTGCTTCTGTCTAGATATTATGTAAAGATATTTCCTTTTCTACCATAGGCTGCAAAGCACTCCAAATGTCCACTTGAAGATTCTACAAAAAGAGTGTTTCCAAACTGCTCAATTAGAAGAAAGGTTCAACTCTGTGAGATGAACACACACATCACAAAGAAGTTTCTCAGAATTCTTCTGTCTGGTTTTTATGTGAAGATATTTCATTTTCCACCATAGGCCTCAAGGCACTCGAAATGTCCACTTGCAGATTCTACAAAAAGAGTATTTCAAAACTTGTCCACCAAAGAAAGTTTCAACTCTGGGACATGAATGCAAGCATCACAAAGAAGTTTCTGAGAATGCTTCTATCTCGTTTTTTTTTTGTGAAGATATTTCCTTTTCCAACATAGGCGTCAAATTCCTCCAAATGTCCACTTGCAGATTCTACAAGAAGAGAGTTTCAAAATTCCTCAATCAGTAGAAAGGTTTAACTCTGTGAGATGAATGTACACATCACAAAGAAGTTTCTCAGATTTCTTCTGTCTAGATTTTATGTGAAGTTATTTCCTTTTCTACCATAGGCCACGAAGCGCTCCATATGTCCACTTGCAGATTGTACAAAAAGCTTGTTTTGCAAACTGCTCAATCAAAAGAAAGGTTCAACTCTGTGAGATGAAAGCACGCATCACAAGGAGTTTCTCAGAAATCTTCTGTCTAGTTTTTATGTGAAGATATTTCATTTTCCACCATAGGCCTCAAAGCGCTGCAAATGTCCACTTACAGATTCTACAAAAAGAGAGTTTCAAAACTGCTCAATCAAAAGAAAGGGTTAAACATGTGAGATGAACGCAAACATCAGAAAGAAGTTTCTCAGATTGCTTCTGTCTAGATTTTATGTGAAGATATTTCCTTTTCCACCATAGGCCTCAAAGCGCACCAATGTCCACTTGCAGATTCTCCAAAAAGAGTGTTTCTAAACTGCTCAATCAAAAGAAAGGTTCAACCCTGTGAAATAAATGGACACATCACAAAGAAGTTTCTCAGAATTCTTCTGTCTGGTTTTTATGTGAAGATATTTACTTTTCCACCATAGGCTGTAAATCGCTCCAAATATCCACTTGCAGACACTACAAAAAGAGTATTTCAAAAGTGCTAAATCAAAAGAAAAGTTCAACTCTGTGAGGTGAATGCACACATCACAAAGAAGTTTCTCAGAATGCTTCTTTCTTGTCTTTATGTGAAGATATTTCCTTTTCCATTCAGAAACTCGTAGCAGTGTTCTGTAATCCTGTGTGAGGGACAAACACTCAGAATCCAGCCACTGTGTACTGGAGTCCTATCTGAGGGCACACATTTAAAATCCAGATGTAGTCTCCTTGCTTTAGTGAATACACTTATCTCCTTTTCCTGCTATACATTTAGGCAAATTATTTTTCTGTATCTTAAATAAATGGTAAATACCTGAAATTTCTTACTTTTTCCAGGCAGAGTGTCTTCACTATTTAGCTGTAGAAGTATAACTATTTTTGTCTGTGTCACAATTTTGTACTCAGGAACCCTGGCCATGTCACTAGCCAAACGGACATAACTTATGGAATACATGGACAGCATCCGGTTGATATGCTCTAGAGAAAAATAGCAGCTACCATAGACTTCAGGAAAGACACATCGAGCCAATGACAAAAATGTGGGTTTCCTACCTTCAGGGAGTCTAAGAATGCAGTAGAAAGTGATGTGGAGAAAACATCTTTCAAATGGAAGGAAGGGATAGGGAAAGGAAGACTGTTAGAGGCTCTTTTGAATGTTAGAGGCAACATAAAACATATTTGGATGTGTATTCTAAATAAAATGCAAATGTCAAGAAGGATGTCAGCTGTGAGTGGGACTCAGAGAAAGAGAAACGTTTTGGACTACAGAGGCCTGCAGTACAAGTGGATCTACAATTTTGTTTAGGGAATCCAATGCCTCAGGTATCTATGTGAGGCAGAATTTTCCTATGGAGCCAGCGGCAAGGCTCCAGAGGAGAAATACAGTACAAGCCACTTTATTTTGGAGTAAAAGCCTTTTGTACAAAAATTACCCGCCCCCTCCTTTTTTGAGAAACAATTTCACATTGGGATACTAATAAGAAGGAATGCTCAGTCATGAATAAGGGTGACCCCGTTGTGATCTGAGCATTATAGGATCATAGTAACTACAACCAGTCTTCCATCATTCCATGGAAATTGCATGTATGCCACGTTGCCTTCTCAGTTTCCAAGGGACCAATTAATGAACAGGCTACTCACATTTTCAACATCCTACTCCTGACACACTCCCACCCTTCTTTCTATTTATCTGTGATTCATAGAGATTTGCCTATGACTGGATTCCTGAGGAGAAAAAAGTCTGGATTACAGATGGCATTCCTTGTTATGGAAGGCCCTTCCTTCTGAAAGTCTATTTCTATCACGTTCTTTCCCTGTGCTGTCAAAGGGTCACCCCTTTGTACAAAGGAGAAGAGAAATCCATCAAGTAAATAAAATTTCATTTACCTTTGTAAAAAATATTTCTACCAATTCACATGGAGGACCTTATTGTTTGGTCCAATAATCAGAGATTTGAAAGAACCTGATATTGTTGGCCAGCAGATTAGAAAAGAGTTATTAGAGAGAGATGGCTCAAGTGATAATAACTGTATGCCTTGTGAATACTCACCTAAACCAAAGATCACTGAAGATAATGTATTTTACCATAATGTTTTAATCTCAGGTAAATGCCAATCAGGAGACAAACACTTCTTTATCTCCTGATTGGTATTGATCTGAATTAAGCTGTCTGCCATTTGGAGAAATTTAAATGCTATTTTAAACACACAGTCTTGTTATTTGAGTTATTTATGATCTTAAGCGGCTCCCCTCCTTTTGTGGGTTAGATTGTGTCTTCAAAAAGAAAATATATATATTAGAGTTCTAGCCCCTGATGTCTGTGAGTATGACTTAATTTGAAATCAAATTATTTGCAGATGCTGTATAATTATGATATGCTAGATGAGCTCATAATGCATTAGAGTAGGCCATAATTCAATATGGTTGATATCCTCATAAGAAGGGAAGAGGAAACAGAGACGCAGGGAGGAGATGGCCATGTGAGGATGGAGGTAGAGAATAAAGTGAGGTATCCTCCAGCCAAGCAATGACAATGAAGCTCAGTGATCACCCGGTGCTAGAAGAAGCAAGAAAGGATTTTTTCCCAGGTCCTTCCGAGAAAATTGCAGCACTGCTCACTCCTTCATTTAAGATTTCTAGCTTCCTGAACCATAAAAGAATAACTTTATCTCATTTTAAGCGACCTAATGTGAACCAGTTTGTCACAGCAGATATAGGAAATTACACCTCCTTAAAGAATGCAGAATCCTGGCCCGTGCTTGCCTCATACCTATTGAATGAGAATCTAAGGGCTCTAGAATCTGCATTTTGAAACTAATACATAATACGCAAAGAGAACTCACTAAGTACTCTACATGCACTTCATCCTCACAAGCCATGAAGTAGTTTACTATTATAATTCTCATTTTACATATGGGAAACTGGAACATTAAAAGATTAAGTAATTTGCTTACAGTCACTCACATAACCAGAAAGTGGAAGAGCTGGGATTCAATCCTAGTTCCAGACATCCTGATATCCTGGGTTCAGACACCACACACTTAGCAACTATTACACACTTAGCATTATTATTATTATTATTATTTTAATCACCATCTCCACCTTCTTAAGCACTCAAAAGTTGAAATCCAGTGGTGTGTTGCTGTTTCCATTCATAGCAAGTTATAGCCAAAATCATAAATTACACTTCCTCCAAAACAGTATACTGACTTCTCATCTCTTTTTAAAATCCCTTCCGTCCTTCTTTTCTTTCTTCTCTTCTCTTTTCTTTTCTCTTTTCTTTCTCTTGCTCTGTCACCCAGGCTGGAGTGCAGTGGCATCATCTCGGCTCACTGCGACCTCCACCTCCCGGGTTCAAGCGATTCTCCTGTCTCAGCCTCCCAAGTAGCTAGGATTACAGGCGCCCAACACCATGCCCATTTAATTTTTGTATTTTTAGTAGAGATGGGGTTTCTTCATGTTGGTCAGGCTGGTCTCAAACTCCCAACCTCAGGTGATCCGCCTGCCTCGGCCTCCCAAAGTGCTGGCATTACAGGCATGAGCCACAATGCCCAGCCCGTGCTTTCTTTTTAATAACTCCTTGCTGTCTAGTTTTTTCATGTCCACTGTGTAAGTACTAGTCTTAATGGGTATTTCTTTTCTTACTATTCTGCACCAATGTTTCCCTGATTGACAATAGTTTTCCTGAAATGTATTCTTGGAATGGATTTCTATGATACGCTTAGAAAATTCTGCATACCTTATACTTCAGAATGTGTATGTAAAAGACTCCAGTAAATGATCCAGGGAAGAAAAATATTTGTGTGTTTTGCGAGTTGTATTCATATGTGTATAAAATTCCCACAGCACTTTGGGTAACAATGCTCTGCACACTTTTCCTGTGCTCCTTTTATCCATTCCCACACTTCCAGCATTTCCTTTGACGTTTGATTTTCTTTATTTTTTTTTACTCCAATATTTTCCTGTAGGTTTCAAACCTATATTTTAAAATGTCAACTGATTCTCCCCCCCGTCTTCACCACCTGCATCTCAAATTTGACATAGCCATAAACACATTTTATATTTTGGCAAATAAATCTATTTCTTTTAAAGCATTGCCCATCTCAGCTAATGATGATAATATCAAGCCAGTCGCCAAGAAAATTTAGAGTATATATACCTTGACTCTTCCTTCTAAATGAATTATTAAGTTCAGCTGTTTCTACCTTGAATTACCTTTCTATTCTGCCATTTCTCTTCTGTGTTGCTGCTGATGTTTTAATGTAGTCATTCATCACATCATGCCTGTACTGCTGGAATAATCTTGACTATTCTTTCTGACTTTTTCTTCTAACTGCATCTCAAAAATTTCTATCTAGAATGAAAATAAGTATGTATATATACTATATATACATATATACATACACACTATATGTATGTATACAGTATAAGTATAGACATGCTATATACTATATATATATGCTATATATTTATATACACACACACCCACTATGCTTTCAAAAATTGTTTACTTATGTCCCATCATTGAAGGGTAAAATACAAAATCACTGATATTGAGAGACATTCTCCTCAATCATTTAACATTTTCCTTCACAAAACTGTGCTGTAGCCACACCCAGAACAGGTTATGTTCCTTCAAAGGCACACACACTTTTCTATTACTCTCCTTTTACTCCTTCTATTCCATCTGCTTACACCATTTTTTACTTGTTTTCTGTCTATCTTCATTCATTTTTCAGGATCCAATTAAAATATTCACACAAAGGCTGAGATCTTTATATCTTCTCTTATTTAAATTCCTGGAGCACCGGATAACTTCCTCTATTATAACTCTTACTGTATACAACCATAACTCTCATTTGAAAACAATGAATACATAATTATAAAATCAGATATATCATAAAATGATTGGTATCAATATGTGAAAAAAAAATCTTCAATGTTGAAAGTACAAGATTACAAGCCATCTGAAAGTAACTAAACATCAATCAGAGAAAAATGCTCATCATTTTTTGATGAAACCAAAAGTAAGAGAATTTGGTATTAATCTACTACATCATTGGTAAATTACATATTAATTATTGTGAGAAAGAAATAATTGATGGAATTTAAAGAAAATCAGTTTTCCTTTATTTTTATTTTTCTACCTAAAAGTATTATAACTAATTAAAATAATGATTTTACAATTATCCCATCAAGTATGTCATCACACTAAAATCCATTGTATTTAATTTCTCGACTGAGAAATTGTATTCAATTGTATTCAATTTCTCTACTGAAAAATTAATATGAAAGCAATCACATAACATTCAGAAATTAATAAATATTTAAAGAAATTAAACAGCATTAGATTTTCTTGTTGTAAAATTTTTTTCTTCTCTCAGTATGGCTTATGTCTCATTGCTTCTATTGAACATAGCACAATTCAAGTATTAATACAACGCCTTTATAAAAGTTGTGAATCTCAGAAATGAACAAGCTTACCTCCCTAGTTATTTATTAAAAGTTACAAGTCACTTTTTTTTTAACTTCCTAATAATCTTAGAGGGGTATATTTTGTGTTTTTTTTGCTATATCTTTTATAAAGAATATCTCTAATGATTTGAAAGTTAGAACCAATTTTCTGAAGGATTGAGCCTCGCTCCTTGAACTTGTGTGTTTGTGGGTGGCACACTATGTCTTTTGCAGACCCAGTACCTACCCCTTGGTCTAGAACATATTTTCCTCCACCTGCCTTTTAAGTTTTTATTTCAGCAGGGGTGGGTGGTTTGTGGTTGAACGAAAATAGAACGGGCTACAAAAGCCCTTCCTGTTTGATATTGAATCTGCTATTTGAGTCACCCTTACATTATGAACTGACTGTTAATTAACACATTTGATAAGAGAATATCCTGATCTGCTTTGCATGTGAGGCTCTCCCAGTAATAAACAAAGAAGCATAATCAAACAATATTTTAATTTCTCTATGCCCTGTTAGAAATTCAGATACAATTCAAGTCATCTTGGAAATTTTAAGTTGCATTCCGATGTCGTCTCTGTTCTGGCCATTGTGCAATGGGCCTTCAAATGTTGTAGTAGAGGCCAACTGACATTCCATTGTTATTCATTTATACACAGTTATATATATGGTGTGTGTATGCAAATATATATATGAATATTCATATATGTGTACATGTGTACATACACACATATGGAGGTAATACAAGTTTGCATTGTTTTTAAAAATTTTTTAACCAAATTAACAATGACTCTATTGCATATCTTTATTGGTTATATCACATTTATATAAATAAATTTATATCAGTGAGAATTTTCAAGTAAGTGAAATTTGAATTGGATTCAGGGTTTTATTTTTTTGAAATTTCCGATTAAAATTACTTGATTTTTTAAATTTTATCTTAAAGTATTCAAGTCCCATTTGTAAAAAAAAAATAGAGGATAAAAATGAAGTGTGTCTTTATGAGTCACAAATTTTTATTTTACCTTAATAATTGTTAAAATAATATTTTTTCCATGAGGCATTTTATAATGCCCTCTTTATGTATTCTTTTGGTGATGTACTTTATTTTATTATTATTATTATTATTATACTTTAAGTTTTAGGGTACATGTACACAATGTGCAGGTTAGTTACATATGTATACATGTGCCATGCTGGTGCACTGCACCCACTAATTCGTCATCTAGCATTAGGAATATCTCCCAGTGCTGTCCCTCCCCCCTCCCCCCACCCCACAACCGTCCACTGAGTGTGATGTTCCCCTTCCTGTGTCCATGTGTTCTCATTGTTCAATTCCCACCTGTGAGTGAGAATATGCAGTGTTTGGTTTTTTGTTCTTGCGATAGTTTACTGAGAATGATGATTTCCAATTTCATCCATGTTCCTACAAAGGACATGAACTCATCATTTCTTATGGCTGCATAGTATTCCATGGTGTATATGTGCCACATTTTCTTAACCCAGTCTATCATTGTTGGACGTTTGGGTTGGTTCCATGTCTTTGCTATTGTGAATAATGCCGCAATAAACATACATGTGCATGTGTCTTTATAGCAGCATGATTTATAGTCCTTTGGGTATATAGCCAGTAATGGGATGGCTGGGTCAAATGGTATTTCTAGTTCTAGATCCCTGAGGAATCGCCACACTGACTTCCACAATGGTTGAACTAGTTTACAGTCCCACCAACAGTGTAAAAGTGTTCCTATTTCTCCACATCCTCTCCAGCACCTGTTGTTTCCTGACTTTTTAATGATTGCCATTCTAACTGGTGTGAGATGGTATCTCATTGTGGTTTTGATTTGCATTTCTCTGATGGCCAGTGATGGTGACCATTGTTTCATGTGTTTTTTGGCTGCATAAATGTCTTCTTTTGAGAAGTGTCTGTTCATGTCCTTTGCCCACTTTTTGATGGCGTTGTTTGTTTTTTTCTTGTAAATTTGTTTGAGTTCATTGTAGATTCTGGATATTAGCCTTTTGTCAGATGAGTAGGTTGCGAAAATTTTCTCCCATTATGTTGGTTGCCTGTTCGCTCTGATGGTAGTTTCTTTTGCTGTGCAGAAGCTGTTGAGTTTAATTAGATCCCATTTGTCAATTTTGGCTTTGCTTGCCATTGCTTTTGGTGTTTTAGACATGAAGTCCTTGCCCATGCCTATGTCCTGAATGGTAATGTCTAGGTTTTCTTCTAGGGTTTTTATGGTTTTAGGTCTAACGTTTAACTCTTTAATCCATCTTGAATTGATTTTTGTATAAGGTGTAAGGAAGGGATCCAGTTTCAGCTTTCTACATATGGCTTGCCAGTTTTCCCAGCACCATTTATTAAATAGGGAATCCTTTCCCCATTGCTTGTTTTTCTCAGGTTTGTCAAAGATCAGATAGTTGTAGATATGTAGCGTTATTTATGAGGGCTCTGTGCTGTTCCATTGATCTATATCTCTGTTTTGGTACCAGTACCATGCTGTTTTGGTTACTGTAGCCTTGTAGTATAGTTTGAAGTCAGGTAGTGTGATGCCTCCAGGTTTGTTCTTTTGGCTTAGGATTGACTTGGAGATGCGGGTTCTTTTTTGGTTCCATATGAACTTTAAAGTAGTTTTTTCCAATTCTGTGAAGAAAGTCATTGGTAGCTTGATGGGGATGGCATTGAATCTATAAATTACCATGGGCAGTATGGCCATTTTCACGATATTGATTCTTCCTACCCATGAGCATGGAATGTTCTTCCATTTGTTTGTATCCTCTTTTATTTCTTTGAGCAGTGGTTTGTAGTTCTCCTTGAAGAGGTCCTTCACATCCCTTGTAAGTTGGATTCCTAGGTATTTTATTCTCTTTGAAGCAATTGTGAATGGGAGTTCACTCATGATTTGGCTCTCTGTTTGTCTGTTGTTGTTGTATAAGAATGCTTGTGATTTTTGTACATTGATTTTGTATCCTGAGACTTTGCTGAAGTTGCTTATCAGCTTAAGGAGATTTTGGACTGAGACAATGTGATTTTCTAGATATACAATCATGTCATCTGCAAACAGGGACAATTTGACTTCCTCTTTTCCTAATTGAATACCCTTTATTTCCTTCTCCTGCCTAATTGCCCTGGCCAGAATTTCCATCACTATGTTGAATAGGAGTGGTGAGAGAGGGCATCCCTGTCTTGTGCCAGTTTTCAAAGGGAATGCTTCCAGTTTTTGCCCATTCAGTATGATATTGGCTGTGGGTTTGTCATAGATAGCTCTTATTATTTTGAAATACGTCCCATGAATACCTAATTTATTGAGAGTTTTTAGCATGAAGGGTTGTTGAATTTTGTCAAAGTCCTTTTCTGCATCTATTGAGATAATCATGTGGTTTTTGTCTTTGGTTCTGTTTATATGCTGGATTACATTTATTGATTTGCATATATTGAACCAGCCTTGCATCCCAGGGATGAAACCCACTTGATCATGGTGGATAAGCTTTTTGATGTGCTGCTGGATTCGTTTTGCCAGTATTTTATTGAGGATTTTTGCATTAATGTTCATCAAGGATATTGGCCTAAAATTCTCTTTTTTGGTTGTGTCTCTACCCGTATATTGCCCTCTTTAAAGGCTCAAAATCTCAAATGCAGAAAGAATGACTTTTAAGTATTCTACATATTTAAACCATTTATTTTATACAACAATCCCATAGATGCAAAACTACTACTAATAAACAAGTAACCTAAGCCGAATTAAATAAAAGTATACAAAGAAAAAATTAGCCGTCTCTGGTGGTGGATGCCTGTAATCCCAGCTACTCATGAGGCTGAGGCAGGAGATTTGCTTGAACTCGGGAGGTAGAGGTTGAAGTGAGCCGAGATCCCGCCACTGCACTCCAGCTTGGACCACAGAGAGAGACTGTCTCAAACAAAAAATAAAAAAAAAAGAAAAGAAAAGAAAGAAAGAAATTACTTCTTTTACACTTGCTCTTCTGTGTTTAGTTTTGAAATTATCATCTTCATGCAAAGTATTTAGCACAGTGCCTGGCAGATAGAAGAAGTTAGCTATTATTTATTTATTTATTTATTTATTTAAGACGGAGTCTTGCTGTGTCTCCAGCCTACAGTGCAGTGGCGCAACCTTGGCTCATTGCAACCTCTGCCTCCCGAGTTCAAGCGATTCTCTTGTCTCAGCCTCCTGAGTAGCCAGGATTACAGGCACGCACCACCACACCAAGCTAATTTTTTTTTAAATTTTATTTTTTAAGTAGAGATGGGGTTTCACCATTTTGGCCAAAATGGTCTATGTCTCTTGACCTTCTGATCTGCCCGCCTTGGCTTCCCAAGGTGCTGGGATTACAGGCGTGAGCCACTGCACCCAGCTGCTAGCTATTATTTCTAATCCTTTGCCATACTCAGGTATAATCTTCCCAAATCCAGAAGTAATTTTATAACTTCAGCTAGTTGCAGGGATAAATTATTGAAATATTTTCCTAAAGAAAATACACAAATGAAACCTTAAAAATACAAGGACTGGGCTGGGCACGGTGGCTCGCGCCTGTAATTCCAGTACTTTGGGAGGCCGAGCTGGGTGGATCACCTGAGGTCAGGATTTCGAGACAAGCCTAGCCAACATGGCGAAACGTCGTCTCTACTAAAAATACAAAAATTAGCTGTGCATGGTGGTGGGCGCCTGTAATCCCAACTACTCGGGAGGCTGAGGCAGGAAAATCGCTTGAACCTGGAGGCGGAGGTTGAAGTGAGGCTAGATCTCACTGCTGGACTGCAACCTGGGGCAACAGAGCAAAAACTGTCTAAAAAAAAAAAAAAAGGCTGGGCGCGGTGGCTCATGCCCGTGATCCCAGCACTTTGGGAGGCCAAGGCGGGCAGATCACGCGGTCAGGGGATGGAGACCATCCTGGCTAACACAGTGAAACCCCGTCTCTACTGAAGATGCAAAAAATTAGCGGGGCATGGTGGCGGATGCCTGTAGTCCCAGCTACTCAGGAAGCTGAGGCAGGAGAATGGTGTGAACCCGGGAGGCAGAGCTTGCAGTGAGCCGAGATCGCACCACGGCACTCCAGCCTGGGCGACAGAGGGAGACTCTGTCTCAAAAAAAGAAAGAAAAAAAGAAAGAAAGAAAGAAAGAAAGAAAGAAAGAAAGAAAGAAAGAAAGAGAGAGAGAAAGAAAGAAAGAAAAGAAAGAAAGAAGGAAAGAAAGAAAGGAAAGAAAGAAAGAAAGAAGGAAAGAAAGAAAGGAAGAAAGATGAAGGTATAGTAAATTATGAAAAAGAGAGAATAAGCATCTTCAACAAGAAAAATGGAAATAATAAAAACTATACAATTGCAAAACAATAACTCTTGTTAAAATATTTTACATGTCATATTGTAAATAATACACCCTCAGTGTATGCAGAAATGATTACATTAGTATAGGAAACAGCTGTGATTGTAGATATATAAACTAGAGAAATGCGAATCAGAAATAAGTTTATCAACTAGAAGAGAGAAGACATTTTTATTTGAGTAAGTCTACTGTCTATAATTTAAAAATACACAATGGTATTTCTTTCATTAAATAGCTTTATTTAAATATAAAAATAAAAGCTTATACATAGGCCAGAAGAAATATTGCTGGTTTATAATAAGGTTCATAGGAACTAAAACAGGGTAATTAGATAAGACGGTGTGTAAATAATTATGTTATTTTAGTAAAAATATCCAACACTGTACCTTTCAAATAAAAATATAGTTTTTTAAAGGTCAACAAAAAGTTTTTGTGCTTCAAATTTTAACATTTATCCTCCAAGTGAAATTACTATAAGAAGAAACAACTAACCTATAAATAAATAATCTACTTTTTGGAAAAGTTAACAAACCTCTCTACACACAATATAATTAAGAAAGATAATAAGAAACATATATAATTTCAAGATTTTCAATTTTTTTTTTACTAAGCCAGAGAAGATAAATGAGTTAATCATTCATGTCAGTAAGTAAATACAGGATCAAAAAACATACCTAATGGAAGGAAATTAATAACAGAAAAGTAAAAATTATAATCTAGAAAATGAAAGATATAAATCGATTCATAAATGGATAAGACTTTTAAGACTTTTTTTGAAGAAATCATTTGAAACTAGAATAAGCAAGAGGAATAGATCAAAACAAAAAGGAAAACAGTGAAGGTGATATACACATCCTCTTACTGAAAATTAATTTTAAAGAACTGCTTTGTAAACACTAAAATTCAGAGTCATCAATGTGTCTGGATATGGATTCATTTTTATTTCTTCTGCTCAGCACTTGTTTTATACTTTAAATTAGAGTCCTCAAGTCTTTCCTCTGCAATGGAAATTTTATGGCATCATGTCAAGTATACAAATAGTGAAGGCATTGCCAGTGTTTTCTTGTGTATAAGTATTCTCTACCATTAGAATGGAAACGTCATCAAAGTGGGCCCTTAGTGAGAGTTTGCTGAGTGGATGAATACTGTCCTTAAATATGGCTTCTCCATTCTCTTTGGACTCCTTTTGGAACTCCTATCATACATGTATTGGGGACTTTCTTGACTGGTCTTTCTGACTTTTAAATCCTTTTATCTGGATAAATTCATCATTATCTCCCAATTGACTAATTCTTTGTGTTTATTGCATTTACACTTTTTTTTATATATAATTTTCATTTCTAGAGCTTTTATTTTTTTTTTCCTTTTTTGAGATGGAGTCTTGCTCTGTCACCCAGGCTGAAGTGCAGTGGCATGATCTCAGTTCACTGCAACCTCCTACTCCTGGGTTCAAGTGACTCTCCTCCTGCCTCAGCCTCCTCTCCTGCTTCAGCCTCCTGAGTGGCTGGAATTACAGGCATGCGCACCACACTCGGCTAATTTTTGAATTTTTAGTAGAGACGGGGTTTCATTATGTTGGTCAGCCTGGTCTAGAACTCCTGATATCATGATCTACCCGCCTCAGCCTACCAAAGTGCTGGGATTACACGTCTGAGCCACCACGCCTGGCTGCTTTTAATTTTTTATATCAATCTTTACTTTGTTCTTTTTTGCCTGCTTTTTTTTTTTCCCCAGAGTCTTACTCTGTTGCCCCGGCCAGAGTGCAATGGCATCATCTCTGCTCACTGCAATCCCCCAGGGTTCTATCAATTCTCTTACCTCAGCCTCTGGAGTAGCTGGGATTGCAGGCACCCGCCACCATTCCCAGCTATGGTTTCACCATGTTGGCCAGGTTGGTCTTGAAGTCCTGACCTCAGGTGATCCACCCACCTTGGCCTCCCAAAGTGTTAGGATTACAGGTGTAAGCCACTACGCCTGGCCTTTTGCCTGTTTTTATTTATATTTTTTCTTTTCTTTTTTTTTTTTTTTTTTGAGATGGAGTCTAGCTCTGTCGCCCAGGCTGGCGTGCAGTGGCGTGATCTCAGCTCACTGCCAGCTCTGCCTCCCAGGTTCACGCCATTCTCCTGCCCCAGCCTCCCGAGTAGCTGCGACTACAGTTGCCCGCCACCATGCTGGGCTAATTTTTTTGTATTTTTAGTAGAGAGAGGGTTTCACTGTGTTAGCCAGGATGGTCTTCATCTCCTGACCTCGTGATCCACCCAACTCGTCCTCCCAAAGTGCTGGAATTACAGGAGTGAGCCACCACATTCGGTGTCTGTTTTTATTTTTAAGTCTTCTATTCTTTTTGATGAATTTTATTCTTTTTTTTTTTTTTTTTTTTTTTTTTTGGCAGAGGCTCACTCTGTTGCCCAGGTTGGAGTACAGTGATGCCATCTTGGCTCACTACAAAGTCCGCCTCCTGAGGTCAAGCAATTCTTCTGCCTCAGCTTCTTGAGTAGCTGGGAGTACATGCACCCACCACCGTACCCTGCTAATTTTTGAATTTTTAGTAGAGATGGGGTTTCATGGTGTTTGCCAGGCTGGTCTTGAACTCCTGACCTCAGATGATTTACCCATCTCAGCCTCCCAAGGTGCTGGGATTACAGGCGTGAGCCACCATGCCTGGCCCTGGATGTTTTCTTCTTAAAAAGCCAGTTGAGAATTCTAAGTGTACTCACTTAAAAGGAAAATTTAGTTTGCTATAATATTTCTCATATTTGCTGTGGTGAATTCATCTCTAGGAGGTTTCTTTGTATAATTATTTCATTATCTCTCTAATAGTTAATTCTCCACATGTTTTGTAATATTTTTTCACACTCACCTTGAATGAGAAGTTCTCTACATGTCATAGTCATATAACAAACAGAATTCACCCTCCTTCACCACTAATCACACTTCTGTATATTCAATAAAATGTGCATTTCTTCATGGATACTCTTTGAATCATCTAAATGGAGACTCTTTATAGAAATATTGAATCATTAATTCTTCCATCTACTGTACTCCTTTCCAACATACTGTCTTACTGATTTTTCACTTTTTCCTATTTATATCCATTTTGTTCTACTAACCCGTCTGTCATTGGCCTTCTTCTATAGCCAACCTCAAATTTCAGTTCACATTAGCTGTGAACAGCACTCAAATTGCTGCTGTATTCTTAAAATATAAATTTACTTCATAAAGCAAAAGTGAATTATATGCATGTTACAAAAAATATTCCTAGCAGAGATAAGATGGGATGGTATTTGCTGGGATGTGCAGCATCGTTTTTTCCAAATTAATTTCTCTCAGAATTCTCTCCTCCCTACTGCCAGGCAGAGCTCACCACTCACATGTCATGAATGACATTTTTAGTCATTTTTCATCATATCTGATCATATGACTTGAATTAATGTTTAGATCTGCTAAGGGCAAACACCACCATGGAATTAAATTTGCAAGAGGGAGGAAGGAGGAAGCAGGAGAAGGTGGGTAGAGTCTTCAGACTAGGGTGCAGATCTTACACCTGTAGAGGGAAAGAGGGAAGGAAGGCTGGTTGGGGTAGAAAGAGACTGCAGCATGGTTCCAAGAATGCTTTGGCCTAGGTCACTGCAGACTCCTTAAATTAAAGTTACTCATTGGAGACTCTCACAACTCACTGGAAACGTCCTCACATACAATCCCCATGTAGCTCTATGACTGTTGGAAACATGACTGCTGCACAAGTGTAGAAGTGCTTCCAGAGACAGAGGGCTAAAGCCAGGCTGTCGCTGACTTATGCTGTCTGATTCAGGATATCTGCATTGCAAATTTCCTTGGTCATTAAAATCCATTACCCTCACCTCCTAACCCCACCACAGCACACACATATTTGTCCAAACAGGTTCTTCATACCAGCTCTTCCAAGATTCCCATGATCCTCTCTTTTCCAAGGGGAATCTTAGAAAAGGAAGGTTAATGAGACCAACTCTAGCCCATGCTATAGCAGTTGGTCTCAGAACTGCCTTTGAATGCCCAGTTGTGTGAGGGGGAGAGAAAGAGAGAGAGAGTAAGGGAGTGGGGAGTGTGTGTGAGTGTGAGTGTGTGTGTGTGTGTGTGTGAGAGAGAGAGAGAGAGAGAGAAATTATCTCTGCTTCTTTTGTAGAAAAGTATCCCTACCTCCTCCTGCTAATCAGGGTGTATTCATCCTGCCCCAGTGGTGACGTATTTCTTGTCCTTTGGTTACTGGACCTAAGGAATCTAAAGCACCCAACAGATAACCTTCTTTAGAGAGCAGGACTTGCCTGCCTTCCAGATCCCAGAGCTGCAGTGATGAGAAGCACAGGAAAACCTGAGAAGATTATTGGGAGCATTTGTAATTAGGGACATTCCTGTTTCTACCTCTTGTTTTCTGAACCTGTAGATTCTTCCTATGGAAGAAGAACTACTATATAAAGATCTGTGATAGAATATGTATAAAAGATGGTGCCCCCTGCATTCAGAATGTCTCCTTTAGCATAGTGCATCAGTTGCATCTTTAGAGTGTTTCTCCAGGGCTCCATGAGTCTAGCTGCTTCTTGAAGAGTGTATGTAATACAAATAGTAGATTACATGGTCATGGACCCACTTCTGCCCATCCTTTGCTGTGAACAAGAAACCCTGGTCAGATGCTATACCATGTGGGATTTTATGCCTGTGGATCAGGAATTCTGGAAGCCTCAGAAAAGTGGTCCTGGCTCAGGCTCTGTGAACAGAAGTGCCAAAACCAGCCCTGGAATAAGGATATATCCCTCTGAGGATGAAAAGGTGGTCATTCAAGGTCAAAAGACTTGCCATATAAGAGTCTCATTATTGATTTATGCTGTTGAAAAGTAGGACAGTCAGAGGCAGCAGTAGTTAGATAAACCTTGATACATAGAAGTCCAGGCTGTGGGGCCCATATGTATCGTCCAACTCTGCCAACATGGTCATATGAGTGATTGCATATGTGTGACTGTTGTTCTTGTTGTGGGAAAGCCAATCTCCAAGGCTGGCAGCTTGTTAAGTCATTTTGTCTGATTGGTTATTGAGTGCCTCTTCTGTGGTGAGTGCTTTCTTGTGAGTGTTAACGTGCAATACAAGATTCTTTACACTCCGTGCCTGCTCCTGCATGTCCACTCATATGCTTCTAACCCAGCTTCCTTGTCTCAGATATTTCAGTTCTTTTCTGTCTAAGCCTCTGCCCAGATGATTCACCCACTGACTACGGCAAAGAAATCTGTTTATATTCCTGCCTTAGGTCATGCTTCTTCTATGTAAAGTAGATGGCCAGGGCCACTGCTCCCAGTGCTGCTAATAGGGAATATTTTAATTTCCTTCTGTCTTTCAGAGTCATTCTTGCATTGGGCTGCAATGCAACTACACCTTTAAACAGAGATTGCCCCTTTCTCCCTCCTTCAGATGGCCACAGGGACACAAATGCAGGCACAGGTGTGAGCTGAAGGAAGGTTGCTGGTGCAAACATGGTGGGTGACATGAGGATCTGGGTTACCTGCTATTCAACTTATCCACTTGCTCTCATCTTGCTTGGCCTTTGTCTCATACTTACTATTTCCACCTCATGATGAACTACTTCTTTTCCCTTCTGGTGTCATGACTTGGTGGTTCCAATAGAACTCAGCCTGCAAGAGGTAGCACCAGAAGCATGGTAACTTATCAAGCACAGCATCTCTCCTAGGTCCAACATATAATTCTCTGCTATAGAGGGCATGGCTTTGTTTCAGAATCCCAGGAGCTGGTGTTGTAATTCTTTTACTGAGAATTGCCATGTGTGCCACACTGTGACCACCATTGACACCTGCAAGAATACAGGTCCTGCAAGATCATATGACCCAAGCTGCAGGGCTGTTCACAATGGAGCCTGGACATGCTGTGGAGCCCTGTCCTGCCCTGCACTCTTCAAACCCTGTGGTCTTCCTATCTCCCTGACTTGTCTTGTGGCTTACTTGTGTTATGTTGCTTAGGGTTTCTTGAGTTTTATGAGTTTGTATTTTTATAACTGTATAGATACAGATGGATAGATATAGATATGGTCAAAGAGGAAGAGTAAGAGAGAAAGAAAAATAATTTTACAAAAGACTTTACTGGACATGTAGAAAAAAAATCAAAGTCCACCTCTATTTCCAGCACTTTGGAAGGCCAAGGTGGGTGAATCACAAGGTCAGGAGATTGAGACAATCCTGGCTAACACGGTGAAACCCCATCTCTACTAAAAATATACAAAAAAATTAGCCAGGCGTGGTGGTGGGAGCCTGTAGTCCCAGCTACTCAGGAGCCTGAGGCAGGAGAATGGCGTGAACCCAGGAGGCAGAGCTTGCAGTGAGCCGAGATCTTGCCACTGCACTCCAGCCTGGGTGACAGAGCGAGAATCCATCTCCAAAAAAAAAAAAAAAAAAATCAAACTCCATAGTGAGAAGTCAAACAACACAATAACAAAATGGGCAAGAGATTTGAGTAGATGACAATAACCAAAGATATATGAATGATTGATAAACACTGAAAAATGCATCATTAACCACCTGGGAATGGAACTTAAAAATCAAAATGCAATAACACTGCACAGAAACTATAATGGATCCAAAAAAATGTCAATTCTGAATGTTTGAGAGGACATACAACACCCTGAATTGTCATATTTAGGTGGGAGTATAAAGTGGATAATCAGTTTGGATTGCAGTTTGGCAGTTAAACATACACTTACAATTTGACCTAGAATATTCCATTCTTACTTACTCAAGAGAAATGAAAACATGTGCATACAAATGAACATAGCAGCTTTACTTGTAATAATCAAGGAATAGAAACATTTGTAAATGGTTCACCAACAGGCTAAAGGATAAACATATTGTAGTATTTCCATACAATAGAATAAAATAGAAAGAACCACTGATTTTGCAACATAGGTGATCCTAAAATATATTGAGAGAATGAAACAACAGTAGGCATATTATAAAAGTTTATTATTACAAAATTCTAGAAACTGAATTTATAGTGGTAGGTTGCAGATCAATGGCTGCTTGGAGCCAGAGGTTTTGGTAAGGAGTACAAGAGAACTTTTGAGGTGATAGACAGCTTCAATATCTTCATTGGTGATAGCCACATAACTTTATATGTTTGTACTTAATTTGGATGTATTTTATTGTATTGAAAGTAAACCTCAGTTAAGTTGACTTTTAAAATTTATTAGATTCTAAAACATTAATTTGCTTCCATCCATTATATGTATTCACAAATCCTACAATAGTATGTTCTGGAAGACCTGTAATAGACACAGTAACTGGCATATTCATAAAGGAAATTTCCTTATGTAGGATAGTTTTTAGGGGAAATGCCTGAAACAAAAAAATCTGCATCTGCTTATCATAATTCGCTGCATAAAAGATCTAAATGTGTAACTGGCAATCAGCTTTAGCTTTGATTGTCTTTCATAGCAGCATGGATCAATTATGTTTACCCAGTTGGCTATTTCTCCATGCTAAACTCATATTGCATACATGCCTCTGAAATTCCAGTCATGTATAGTCTATAATATATACCTATATTACACAATTTGTATACTTTTCCACTTTAAAGGGGGGATTTATACCTGCAAAGGGACTTGACCTACAAGTATCATCCAATTCTGTTCCAAATTTTGGAAACTATGACTCTATCCTGGAAATGATTCAGTAGTTTTGTTTCATTTGACTCTTCCTACAGACATAATGTGTTGAAGTAAACCTATTTTTTATGTTTGGAAAGTAGCCTTTTGATGGGTGTTTTCTAGCTTTTGGAAAACATGTACTCGAAGCAGAAGTAACTAGTTGTTGAGGGAATAGAACCACAACATTTCTGACCTAGGCAAATTGAAACCTTGTCATCCTTGATGACAAACATGACATGACACATGATTGCCTTTTTCAGGGAGTTCTTATGTAAAAGATTTTATCCCCAACTAGTTGGTATCATTCAAATCAAATTTTATAATTTTACTCTGTATTAGGAAGCAGTTTTATAATGTCCAAAGCATCTTTATGCATATTTTTTCTCAAATAAATCCTACAGCAACTGTGTGAGATACTCAAAGGTGAGAATATTATCCCCATTTTACAACTGAGCAAGCAGACTTCAAGATTTGTTAACTTTTTAGAGCTGAAGTTTAGTCCACTATTTTATGTTATCAACCTTTGATTTGCTGTGCTATACCCAACAATTTAGAAAAGAATTTACCCAAGATTGTAACATATAATACAATTAATTTATTTTTTTTCTCTCCGCTTGAAAACAGAAACAGTGGTGATTATGGAGTATCTACTGATTATTTTGCTGGGACAAGTTGATGTCACTAAATTTATAAACTGAACTGAACTGATAACCTCAGTTACTTTGCCAAAATTCCTTCTTTTAATATTACATAAACTGTAGAATGCAGAAGAGGTACTTTTAATTTCTAATTATTTAAGTAGAGAAAGACTCAACACTTCCTTTTAGGCTCACACATAAAATTTCTGGTTGATACATCACCAGCGATTGTGTTTCAGCATGTATGTAAATGCAGCTTTCTGAATAGGCAAACTTACAGGAAATATGGAATATCATTGTATTTACATACAGCAGTATCTCAGACATCATTCCAAAAACTAAAGGACAATGAGGAAATATTTCCAAAAGCCATATTACAGTGCTTTGGGGGAGGTAAAAGAGAGAATGCTGCAATATGTTTTCCTGTTTGACTGACTCAAGCTACATTCTAGGAGATATTTTAAAAAGTGAATAAAATCTCTATGTCATAGTCAAAAGATGTAAGGCAAACCACAATTATCCAAGGAAATCTGAAATGAATATTACTAAATACAACCTTCTGGATTTGGTTTTACTTACCTAGTATGTTGACTATGTCTGCTTATGGTTTTCTTACTTATGCCTACCTACACCATCTTTTAATCAAATGTGCCGATAAAATTTCTAAGTGCAGAATTTCCTTTGCTTGACACAAACACTTTGTTCTACTGTGAATCAACTTCTGGGGCTTTCTATTGTATGGATGTCTACAAAGGGATGTGCTGTAACTCAAGTATAAGCAGATGGTTCTTTCATTGTTGTAAATCAAATTGGTATAACCTGTGACTGGGTTCGATGTGGCCCCAGTTTCCTGAGGCCTGTGAAAATTGCTAGGTTGCTCATTTTCATTTTTTCTTATCACCTTAACTGGAGTTGGAGGCCCTTGCAAGTCCAGGACAATGACGTCTTAGGCAACCTCAGTTGTCTAGTGTGACTTAATAAGCCTGATGTATGTAGTAGAACCAATCTTTTCTTTTATATATAATGCCATTTTAAGTGATGTGAACCTTATTCTCTAGGTTACAGGTATTGGATTACTTTCGTTCTTTATTATAATAAGCAAGGTGTTAATTTGTTGTTGTTGTTGTTTTTTGGAGACAGAGGCTCGCTCTATCGTCCAGGCTGGAGTGCAGTGGCGTGATCTTGACTCACTACAAGCTCCACCTCCCGGGTTCACGCCATTCTCCTGCCTCAACCTCCTGAGTAGCTGGGATTACAGGCACCTGCCACCATGCCCGGCTAATTTTTTGTATTTTTAGTGGAGACAGGCTTTCACCCTGTTAGCCAGGATGATCTCCTGATCTCATGATCCGCCCGCCTCAGCCTCCCAAAGTGCTGGGATTATAGGCGTGAACCACCATGCCCTGACCGCTAATTTGATTTTTTAACTCCTAAATTCTACTATTTTCCTTACTCGCTTTCTAATGAAAATTGATGGAGGAAATAAACTGAAAATATCACAGTTCTAAACATTCCACTATTTTGGGATTCTAAAATTATTGGCTTTCGGTGTTCACTGATTCATGTCGGATTTTTAGTAGCATAATCAAACCTTTTTTTGGCAATGGTATAGAGTGCAAAATGCAAAGCCATTTGCCATGGTGTAGATGCTCACAGTATGCCCCTGCGTCTAAAGAGATACTATTCTTCAACATAAATCAGACATATAGAAAATACTTACAGCACAGAAAATATGAACTATGGCATAGAAATACATTAAATTAGCTAAATGACATCCCTAATAAAAATCTGAATCTGGCCAGGCACGGTGGCTCACGACTGTAATCCCAGTACTTTGGGAGGCCAAGGCAGGCGGATCACCTGAGGTTAGTTCGAGACCAGCCAGGCCAACATGGTCTACTATAAAAATTACAGAAATTAGCTGGGCATGGTGGCAGGCGCCTGTAATCCCAGCTACTTGGGAGGCTGAGGCAGGAGAATCACTTGAACCCGGGAGGCGGAAGTTGCAATGAACTGAAATTGTGCCATTGCACTTCAGCCTGTGCGAGAAGAGCAAAACTCCATCAAAAAAAAAAAAAAAAGAATCTATTCTAAAACTGGGAATTTTATGTTTAAGTAGATTCACTTAATTTTTTCGTATAATCTCCTGGGACAAATAAATGTTTTCAACAGTTGCGCTTAACAAACTGAAGAACTGGAAGGAGAAACATTATTAATAATTACTTCCAGAGTGGGGCATGGCTCACATCTGTAATCCCAGCACTTTGGGAGGCCGAGGTGGGCTCATCACGAGGTTAAGAGATCGAGACCATCCTTGCTAACACGGTGAAAAGCCGCCTCTACTAAAAATACAAAAAATTAGCCGGGCATGGTGGCGGGCGCCTGTGGTCCCAGCTACTTGGGAGGCTGAGGCAAGAGAATCGCTTGAGGAAGCCCGGCCAACATGGCTAAACCCCATCTCTACTAAAACTACAAAAATTAGCTGGGCATGTTGGGGCATGTCTGTAATCCTAGCTACTCCCAGAGGCTGAGACAAGAGAATCCCTTCATCCTGGGAGGCGGAAGTTACAGCAAGCTGAGATCACACCACTCCACTCCAGCCTGCTCTACAGAACAAGACTCCGTCTCTAAAAAAAAAAAAAAAAAAAAAAACTTCCTACAATGTATGACTAGATTACAAAGTTTTCTATTCTTTTCTTTTAAAAATAAATATCTTAGCTGCCTGTTTTCATTCTGGCCATCAAAATTGCCTAAAGTCTTTGTGGGCAATATCATCAACCCCTGAGGGAAATTCAAGATATTCCCAACACAGAAATATTCTTAGCTGAAAAGAGTATGGGATGACAATTTTCAACCTGGCACATATAAAAAGAAGAAAAATGTTGGGTAAATGAACAGCAAAAGAAAGATGACATTCATATGTCCTATGCAATTCTGAATACTTATTTTATGTAGGTGAATATTTTAATGAAAGACATTTATTGATCCAAAATATTTTTTAACTTAACGAACTTTGGCAAAACAATGCCCTTCAGTCAGTGACTATATTATCAAGTTTCATCTACCTCTGATCAAGGAAACAAAAATAATAGTAATTCCATACTCAGTATGTGTGAGAAAATAAGAGCTGTGTTTAATTCTAAATATTTTGAGTTATGCCACATAACAGTATACATTTATTTTGAGTTCGTATGTAGAATTAGACTACTTTTTAATTTTGGGAACATGGAGAACAATATTATAGGATTATATTAGTAAGGCTATGGTAAATACTAACATTAAGCTCTCCTTATGTGCCACACACAGTTCCTTCACCAAAATGGGCAGAATTTTAGCTGAAGACTAATAGTGAAGCCTAGACATTCATGCAGAAATTAAACAACTCGACCATTATTAGAATATAGTAAACATATACATGTTCAATACCAGCCTCTTCTTTTCTCACTTTATGTTTTTTGAATGTCATTAGATTTACATATCCTGCTAACATAACATAAAAACAAACCTTAAGTTTCAAGAAATTAACAATTCTAGTTACATACTATTTACATGTTTTTCTTATTAACTATTAGTTATTTCAAAATTTACCTTTTATGTTTGGAGATAAAAAATATCTAATAGAAAGGTAGTTTTTTGAGAAGAATTCATTTTTATTATTTTTATTTTTATTTCTTTATCTTTTTTTTGAGACAACTTCTTATTCTGTCACCCAGGTTGGAGTGCAGTGGCGTGATGTTGGCTCACTGCAACCTCTGCCTCCCAGGTTCAGGTGATTCTCCTGCTTCAGCCTCCTGAGCAGGTGGGATTAGAGTAGCTTGCCACCATGCCTGGCTAATTTTTGTATTTTTAGTAAACATGGAGTTTTACCATGTTGGCTAGGCTGGTCTTGAACTCGTGACCTCAAGTGATCCATCCTCCTCAGCCTCCTAAAGTACTGGGATTACAGGCATGAGCTACTGCACCTGGCTCTTTTTTAATTATTTTGAAAGGCTACTTTAGTTTTCCTAGTAATCCATGTGAATGTATTCTCTATGAACTATAGTGTGTGTGTTTACTTTTTATATATAGAATACTACTGAGGAACAAGCTGTTTCTGTAAATCAAATGGGACTGAAACTCTACGTTGGTTGTGTTCTACATGTTACAGAGACCTGGACAGAGACAGTATGATCATCTCATGAACATCACATAATCTCCTGTCACAGTCCCAAGACAAAACATTTCCTTAAAATCAAGACTTGCTTTAATAACCATCACATTTATTACAATAATACCTTCCCACTATAATCAATATGGATATAAACAGCCTTTGTTCTATTTTTCTCATACTTGGAAGACTTTTGCTTTCATTCTGTGAAAATCTTGTATTTCTCCTCAATTATTCTAATTAGAAAACTAGTGCTGGGGGAGAAAAAATAAAACAGCACAGAAAGGAAAGGGCCTCCTGCAATGCACTGTTTAGACAGATAAGGTAGCCAGGCCAGGCGATGGTCAGGTAGGGACTGCCTTCTTCTCTCTGGTGGTGATAATTGAGAATTGCTGCGAGGTGTGGAAGTGGAGCTGATTGAGCCAGAGCACAGTCCAGCTTTGTTCCATGTTCTCTACATAAAATAATCCATAATCTTCAGCATTAAGACCTCATGATCTCATGTTTTGAGAAGGAGAGTTGAGAAACACCTACTAGTCTTATGATAGGTTGAGTACTTTAAAGAGTTTTGGGCCAGGTGCGGTGGCTCACGCCTGTAATCCCAGCACTTTGGGAGGCTGAGGCACATGGATCACGAGGTCAGGAGATCAAGTCCATCCTGGCCAACACAGTGAAACCCTGTCTCCACTAAAAATACAAAAAATTAGCCGAGCATGGTGGCCTGCACCTGTAGTCCCAGCTACTCGGGAGGCTGAGGCAAGAAAATCGCTTGATCTGGGGAGGTGGAAATTGCATGAGCTGAGATTGCACCACTGCACTCCAGCCTGGGTGACAGAGTTAGACTCCATCTCAAAAAAAAAAAAAAAAAAAGAATTTTGAAGCTTCTTAATTCCATTTATTTAAGACATTATTCTCATTGGGATTAGGGGGGAATCCCTGAATTTTGGTAAAAACAAATCCAAGTCACAAAATCAGAAAAAAAAAAAAGGGAAGATATAGGATGATGCGTTTCATTCTTCATATGAATATGCATTTTACACATATATAACTAAGACCAATTTTGGATTTATTTCCAGGCTTGGGGATAACTTATGGAAACTTTTAACGTTAAAGTTAAATTTGCAATTCAGAATTAATCCATACATTATTTCACTGTTTTCTTGTTGATATTAAATGCTGCTGACTCAGTAAAGTTTATTATTTGAATATAACAAGAATGTGTGAGTTGTAAATTCCATGCTAAAGTCTGGAACATTTCTACAAAATTCAGTTTAGCAAATATTTGTTAAGACTTCAGTCAAAGCCTTTTACAACTGCACTGCTCTAGGTTTTGAGGACTCAAAATAATATCTGCTCACAAACCAGACATGCAGACAAATAAGGTTCTATGTATTAAGGTCAATAATAGAATTTTGCTGAAGACAAAATATTATCGCAGACACAAAAAAATTAGCCAGGCATGGTGGCAGGTGCCTGTAATCCAAGCTACTCAGGAGGCTAAGGAAGGAGAATAGCTTGAACCCAGGAGGCGGAGGTTGCAGTGAGCCAAGGTCACATCACTGCACTCATCTTGGGCAACAGAGTGAGACTTCATCTCAAAAAAAAAAAAAATCTTGATTCATTTATCCCCTGTGCTTCATAGCATTCAGAGTCTTCCATATTTTCTGGGAGTTTCTTGGTTAGTTGGGCTTGGCCTCTCCTCACTTACTGTTGGTGCCTGCCCTCTTCTCTGTGCTCCAGAGCAGATCATGTTTTCTCTACTCAGTTCCCTCTAGTGAGGAGACTCATCCCACTTTCACCCCCACCTTAGCACCAAGCACCATTAATTCAAGACCACCATGTGGAGGAGATAAGGGAGAATTACATCCCATGAAGAGCAGCAAAATGCATAAACATGCATATATATACACATATATGCATGTATATGCACACATACACACAGATACATATATATGCATATATACATACACACATATATACACGTATACACATATATACACACACACATATATACATACATATATTGCCACCACTATCCTGAATCTCCTCATTTATTCCCATCAGAAGGAATTTCTCCACCCCACCCTACCATTTTCTTGGAACTTCTAGTCTCTCTCACATTATTAATTCTACACCTGGGGCTGCCTTGCCCCCTCTTGCTAACTGCCTGGTGGTAACTTGGCACTCCTCTTAGTTACTGCTTAACATTACAGCTCACCCTTTTTTACGTCATATTTATGAAGCATTAAATATTCTAAAAGTGGTCGGGCGCAGTGATTCATGCCTGTAATCTCAGCACTTTGGGAGACCAAAGCGGGCAGATCACGAAGTCAGGAGTTCAAAACCTCCTGACCAACATGGTGAAACCCTGTCTCTACTACAAATACAAAAATTAGCTGGGCATGATGGCACATGTCTGTAATCCCAGCTGCTCAAGAGGCTGAGGCAAGATAATCACTTGAACCTGGGAGGCAAAGGTCACAACGAACCGAGATTTGTCACTCCAGCCTGGGTGACAGAGCAAGACTCTCAAAAAAAAAAAAAAAAAGCTACTTTGTCTAGGGTACCCTATTATACCAAGGAATTTAGTGCCTCATGAAAAAAGACTCTCAAAGATGTTTTTCTAAACAATAGAACCTTCTACCTTAGAAATCATTTATGATATTATCCAACATCATTATTTTTTATTTTATATATATTTTTCACTACAATAAAAATCTTTCAAATATATCAAAATACAATTTTATTAAAACGGAAAAGTTGTTTATTAGATAATCTTTTAATTTTAACATATTAATTTATCTGTCGGGGTTCTATGTCATTCACTCAGGAAGAGAATTCAATGAATAATGTGGTACCTTCACATATCAGTAGAACTTTTTCACAAAAATGGGCAATTTTTCATTTTTCGGAGTGAACACTGAGCCACCACCTGAGGAAAAATAAATGATCATTTTTAACAATTAAAGTTACTATTTTTTTAATCATCTGGTATTTTAAGATGTTTTTAGACTTATAGATCAAGATAAGAAGTTAGCATGCATTTATCCTTCTTTCAATTTGTATCCATCCCTAACTTATTTCTTCCTATTGTGCAATAACTCATTATTAAGCTGAGCTTCCATTTTACTCATTCATGTTTATTTATGGGTCAAGCAAGTGAACTGCATACAAATTCACAAATTTTCTTTTTCTTTTTTTTTTTTTGAGATGGAGTCTTGCTCTGTCGCCCATGCTGGAGTCAGTGGTGCAGTCTTGGCTCACTGCAAGCTCTGCCTCCAGGGTTCATGCCATTCTCCTGTCTCAGCCTCCCGATTAGATGGGACTACAGGCACCCGCCACCACACCTGGCTAATTTTTTGTGTTTTTAGTAGAGACGGGGTTTCACCATGTTAGACAGGATGGTCTCGATCTCCTGACCTCGTGATCTGTCCACCTCAGCCTCCAAAATCCTGGGATACAGGCTTGAGCAACCGCATCCAGCCTACAAATTTTCTTTGTAACTTACTTTATTATTAAATTGTTCTTCCTAATTCTTTTTTATTTTTTATTTATTTATTTATTTATTTATTTATTTATTTATTTTTTGAGATGGAGTCTTGCTCTGTTGCCCAGGCTAGAGTGCAGTGGTGCAATCTCAGCTCACAGCAACCTCCTCCACCTCCCAGGTTAAAGCCACTCTCCCACCTCAGCCTCCAGAGTAGCTGGGATTACAGGCATGCACCACCACACCCGGCTAATTTTGTATTTTTGGTAGAGACAGGGTTTCTCCATGTTGGTCAGGCTGGTCTCAAACTCCCAACCTCAGGTGGTCTGCCTGCCTTGGCCTCCCAAAGTGTTGGAATTACAGGTGTGAGCCACCGCACCCAGCCTGGTCTTTTAAAATTTGACCTAAACAGTTCATCCTCTCATGTTCTTCATGAGCGAGGAAGGTCCACTATTTTTCCCTTGTTATTTTAATAAAAACAACTATTTACCTTGAATATACTGAATATACACAAAATACATATTCATTTACACACCATGGCTTTTTAAAAGGGTTGTCCTTAGATGTGGCCTCCAGGGATAGTTAAGCTGTAAATGGAAGGCTTCATATGTAAAGACATTTTCCTTTTGACCTTGTCTCTTATACTGAGTGTGTGTGTGTGTCTGCTTTCAGTGGTAGAAGTTAAGGGGAATCTCTATGATTGTTTTTCTTTCTCTCCATTTATCCCTCACTTTCTTCCTTTTTTTTTTTTTTTTTTTTTTTTGAAACAGAGTCTTCCTTTGTCAGTGCAGTGGAGTGATCTCGACTCACTATGACCTCTCCCTCCTGGGTTCAAGTGATTCTCATGCTCAGCCTCCCAGGTAGCTGGGATTACAAGCACCCACCACCACGCCCAGCTAATTTTTGTATTTTTAATGGAGACGCAGTTTCGCCATGTTGCCCAGGCTGGTCTCAAACTCCTGATCTCAGGCAATCCGCCCACGTCGGCCTCCCAAAATGCTGAGATTACAGGCATCAGCCACCACGCCCAGCCCCATTAATCCCTCATTTTAATATTTTTTTTAATTTTTTTTTTCTTTTTTTGAGACGGAGTCTTGCTCTGTCGCCCAGGCTGGAGTGCAGTGGCGGGATCTTGGCTCACTGCAACTTCCGCCTCTCAGGTTCAAGCAATTCTCCTGCCTCAGCCTCCCAAGTAGCTGGGACTACAGGTGCCCGCCACCACGCCCGGCTAATTTTTTGTATGTTTAGTAGAGATGGAGTTTCACCATGTTAGCCAGGATGGTCTCAATCTCCTGACCTCATGATCCACCTGCCTCAGCCTCCCAAAGTGCTGGGATTACAGGCATGAGCCGCCTTGCCTGGACTATCCCTCACTTTATAACGTTAATCAAGTTCTTTTATAATTTTATGTTAAAGATTTTTGAATTTTGTTAATCTATTTTATTTTCCTTCATAAAATGATCAAAGCTAGAAATAACATTACAAAGTATATCATAATCATTAATAGAAAGAGATCTATAATCAGCTTAAATTTCTTTTCTCTCTTTTCTAGTTATGTGATCTTAGGCAAGTTACATAAATTACCTGTGTTCAGTTTATTTACTCGTGAAATGGGGAAAATAATGGTGCCTGTCTCTGGGTAAGATTGTAGTGAGGGTGAATAACAGATTTATCAAGCATAAAGCAGTGCCTGGGACACAGGAATTGCCCTCTCTGCATGCCCCTGCATATGTGTGCATACAGGCATGAATCATTTGATGATGGAATAAATTTGGAGAAATATGTCTTTATGCAGTTTTATTATTGTGCAAATATCTCAGAGTGTACTTACACAAACATAGATGGGATAGCCTACTACTCTGCTAGAGTATATGGTAGAGTATATGTAGCCTGTTGCTCCTAGGCTACAAATCTATACAGCATGTTATTGTACTACATACTGCGGCAACTGTAACACAGTGGTAGGTATTTTGCATCTTATCATAGAAAAGGTGCAGTTAAAAAAAAAAAAAGGTACACTTGTAGAGGGCACTTACCATGAATGGAGCTTGCACAGCTGGAAGTTGCTCTGGGTAAGTGAGTGAGTGGTGACTGAATATGAAGGCCTAGGACATTACGGGCACTGTTGTAGACTTTAGCGGTACTGGATGTACACTTAAGCTATGCCAAATTTATTTTTAAATTGTTTTCTTTTATCAGTAATAAATTAGCTTTAGCTTACTGTAATGTTTTTATTTAATATACTTTTTTTTAACCTTTTGGCTCCTTTGTCACAACTCTTAGCTTAAAAGGTAAACATATTGTACAACTTTAAAAAAATATTATTTTCTTTATATCTAAGTCTATAAGCTTTTTGCAATTTTTAATTTTTGTGTTACTTTTTAACTCTTTTATAAAAACAAACACAAACACGCACATTAGTTTAGGCCTATAGAGGGTCAGGATCATCGGATCATCAACATCATTGTCTTCCACCTTCACATTCTGTCTCAACGGAAGTTCCTTGGGGCAATAACACACATGAAGCTGTCATCTCCTATGATAACAATCCCTCCTTCTGGATACCTCCTGAAGGACCTGCCTGAAATTGCTTTACTGTTCAGTTTTCTTTTTCTTTTTTAATAAGTAGTACCCTCTCAAAACATGATAAAAAGGGCCAGGCATGGTGGCTCATACCTGTAATGCAAGCAATTTGGGAGGCTGAGGTGGGAGGATCACTTGACGGCAGCAGTTCAAGAGCAGCCTGGCCAACATGGTGAAACCCTGTTTCTACTAAAAATACAAAAATTAGGCAGGTGCAGTGGTGGGCACCTGTAGTCCCAGTTACTTGGGAGGCTGAGGCAGAAAAATCACTTGAAACTGGGAGGTGGAGGTTGCAGTGAGCCGATATCACACCATTGCAACTCCAGCCTGGGCAACAGAGGGAGACTCCATCACAAAAAAAAAAAAAAAAAAAAAAAAAAAAAAAGATAAAAAGAATTGAGTAGTAAATATATAAACCAGTAATATTGTCACTTATTATCATTATCAGGTATTATGTTCTGTAAGTAATTATATGTGCTAGAGGCCTGGCAGCACGATAGGTCTGTTTTCACCAGCATCAGCACAGACATGTGAGTAATGAATTGTGCAATGATATTACATTGACAATGACATCACTAGGAAACAGGAATTTTTCAGCTCCATTACAATCCTACAGGACCAATATGTGGTCCACCATTTACTGAAATGTATTTACATGGTGCATGACTGTAAAATTACTAGTCTTCAAAAATCAGTTGTATCTTCAACATTTCCTACCTCTGCAAAATGCATCACCATTCTCCCAGTTACCCAGGCTTAAAACCTCAGAATTCTATCAAATTATTTCATTTCCTTACATCTCATGTTTAATTAGTCACTGATTCCCATCAATTTTCCCCTATCATGTTTAATAGTACCAACACATTATTTCTCTTAGAAAAACATGTTTCTAGTTTAGGTTCTTAATGTAGCCTATTTTTAAAATATCTCAAAGTTTGCCATACAGTCTTTATTTCTTATTTCTTAAAATATTTTCTACATTTTGATACAACTAACCTTTCTAAAGCATAAATATCTCACTTTGTCACTTGTCTGCCCCAAAAAAAACATAAAAATATCTTCTTGGTCTAGAAAGTAAAATTATAATGCTTGGCATAATGTAGACAGAAATAGAAATTCCCATTTATCCTTTTTCTCCTTTGCCCCCACACTTTTCTTCCATGTTCACATCAGTACCTAATGTCCCAGACATATGGAATTCATTGTTTCATGAATAGAGCCAACACATTCTAACTACCATGCATTTAGTCAAACCATCTGGCCACCTGGAATTTCCTACCATCCCCCATAAAATTTAAATTAAAAAATTCCACTGTTCTGTCCTCTCTGAAGATGTCCCTGAACCCTTATTGAAACTCATTGACATATCCTTTGGTTCCCGCAGCCTTTATTGTATATGTCATAATTTAGCACATACATTACTCTGCCGTACATTTTAGTAAGTTAATGACCTGTCTCTTTTCACTGATAAAACAGTGTCAGGATTTTTTCATTTTTGTATTCCCTACTGGTCCACAGAGTGGTATGAACATATAATTTGCTAAGTTAATTTTAAATTGACTTAAACTTACTGGTAACTTCACCAATTAACTGTTCTTTTCCAGTATTACCCTTAGAAATGTCCTTGCCTTGATATATTTTATGTTCTAAAAAATTAATTTCATTTTAAGAATCACATCCTCCAAAACAAAAGAAACAAAAGCTCCCATACAATTCTAATGCTAGTTATAGGTAACATTAAAAAATGGCATACCAACTGTAAAAAACAAAAACAAAACAAACAAAAACAAACAAACAAAACAATTCCCATGAAAGCCAGAGGCAAACAATGCAAATTTTAATGTCAATATTGTCATTTTTTCCTAGGTTAGGGGACAATATAACCACATTTATAAACTTGTTCTTTTTGTCTCTCCTCATGTTGACCTCACACATAGCATATTATGCCATTAAAACAACAAAAAAAGGAGAAAATGCTATATTGAAATCCAGTATTTTCTTACAACAATTCCTTACTGTGAATTGTGAATGAAAATTAAATTCTTTAATCACTAGGAAAGACTCTGAGTGTGCGAGTGTTTCTTTCAGCTGATATAAACATTGATAAGATCAAAGCTTGCTCTACATTATCTGTCTTACCAGGTCTTGACTGAATCTCAGAACAAAATCCTGTAGTTTCTCTTTATTTCAGATAAACCTTTGATCTTTTAAAAATATAGGCACAGCTGGGCACAGTGGCTCAGGCCTGTAATCTCAGCAGTTTGGGAGGCCGAGGTGGGCAGATAATGAGGTCTAGATATCGAGACCATCCTGGCCAACATGGTGAAACTCTGTCTCTACTAAAAATACAAAAATTAGCTGGGCGTGGTGGTGCACACTTGTAGTTCCAGCTACTCAGGAGGCTGAGGCAGGAGAATCGCTTGAACCTAGGAGGCTGAGGTTGCAGTGAGATGAGAACGTGCCATTGCACTCCAGCCTGGGCGACCAAGCGAAATTCCATCTCAAAAATAAAAAGATAAATAGGCACATCTGGCTAAGGAAATGGCAAAAAGGCAAAAAGATATGCACAAAAAAAGTTAGCCACTACTTGCATTGAAAATGGGTTTAAGTTTAAGGTTTTGGCAAGTGTTTGAGAAAAATATGAATTAAGCTCATTTTCTGTGAAGACAAGTCTCTAGGCGTTTAGTTTTGGTTAAGTTAAATACTTAAATCTATTTAAAATTTTAAAGACCTTAGTAATGTAAACAAATGGTGTTGAGTTTGGACTTCTCTACAATATCTATGTGGAATCTTAGGAAAGGAAGAATGAAAGGATACAATACATTTTAAATGGTAGTTCAGCCTAAATCCTAAGCATAAGCATAATACACTGCTGCATTTTTTTTTTGACAGAGCCTAACTCTGTCCCCCAGACTGAAGTGCAGTGGTGCCATCTTGACTCACTGCAACCCCAGTCTCCTAGATTCAAGCTATTCTCCTGCCTCAGCCTCCCAAGTATCTGGAATCACAGGCAGACACCAGCCACGCCCAGCTTGTTTTTTGTTTTTATGTTTTTTCTTTTTTTAGAGACAGAGTCTTGCTCTGTCACCCAGGCTGGAATACAATGGCACAACCTCGGCTCACTGCAACCTCCGCTTCCCATGTTCAAGTGATTCTCCTGCCTCAGCCTCCTGAGTAGTTGGGATTACAGGCACACGCCACCATGCCCGGCTATCCACCTCCCAGGTTCAAGCAATTCTTCTGCCTCAGCCTCTTGAGTAGCTGGGATTACAGGCATGTGCCACCATGCCTGGCTAATTTTTGTATTTTTAGTAGAGACAGGGTTTCACCATGTTGGTCAGGCTGGTCTCGAACTCCTGACCTCCTGATCCACCCGCCTCAGCCTCCCAAAGTGCTGGAATAATAGGCATGAGCCACCGTGCTCAGCCCATTTTTTGTATTTTTAATAGAGGTGAGGTTTCACCATGTTGACCGGGCTGATCTCGAACTCCTGACCTCAAGTGATCTGCCTGCCTCCACCTGCCAAAATGCTGGGATTACAGACAAGAGCCACTATGCCTAGCCAATATGTTACTTTTAAAAAATAAGTTATTCGTTTTAGTTTTCTTCTGTTGCTAATGATCATTTCTATTTTGTAGAGAAAAGGAAGAGGGATCAGACTGTTACTGTGTCTATGTAGAAAGGGAAGACATAATAAATTCCATTTTGACCTGTACCTTGAACAATTGCTTTGTGTCCTGAGATTCTGTTAATCTGTAACTTTGCCCCAATCACTTTGCCCCAACCTCTTTGCCCCAACCTTGAGCTCACAAAAACATGTATGGAATCAAGGTTTAAGGGATCTAGGGCTGTGCCTTGTTAACAAAAGGTTTACAAGCAGTATGCTTGGTAAAAGTCTGCCATTCTCTAGTCTCGATAAACCAAGGGCACAATGCACTGCGGAAAATGGCAGGGACCTCTGCCCTGGAAAGCCGGGTATTGTCCAAGGTTTCTCCCCATGTGATAGTCTGAAATATGCCTCATGGGATGAGAAAGACCTGATCACCCCCCAGCCCAACACCCATAAACGGTCTGTGCTGAGGTGGATTAGTAAAAGAGGAAAGCCTCTTGCAGTTGAGATAGAGGAAGGCCACTGTCTCCTGCCTGCTCCTGGGAGCGGACTGTCTCGGTATAAAACCTGATTTTATATTTGTTCAATTCTGAGATAGGAGAAAAACCACCCTATGGTGGGAGGCAAGACACGTTGGCAGCAATGCTGCTTTATTGTTCTTTACTCCACTGAGATGTTTGTGCAGAGAGAAACATAAATCTGGCCTACGTGCACATCCAGGCATAGTACCTCCCCTTGAACTTAATTATGACACAGATTCTTCTGTTCACATGTTTTTTTGCTGACCTTCTCCCTATTATCACCCTGCTCTCCTACCGCATTCCTCTTGCTGAGATAATGAAAATAATAATCAATAAAAACTGAGGGAACTCAGAGGCCGGTGCCGGTGCAGGTGCTTGGTATGCTGAGCGCCGGTCCCCTGGGCCCACACTTCTTTCTCTATACTTTGACTCTGTGTCTTATTTCTTTTCTCAGTCTCTCATCCCACCTGACTAGAAGAACCCACAGGTGTGGAGGGGCTGGCCATCCCTTCATATTTTCACTTAATTTACTCTGAATCCATGCCACTTTTGCATTTGAGGCTAATGTTTGTATTGAAGGAAAGGATAGCAAGTCAATTTACAATTGGATTTTTTCAATGTATAGAGTTACATGTTTACTAAAAGGAGTAGCCCTTAATTCTTTTTAAAAAGCCCATAGCAAGCAAGATGATTAACAATTTTTATATGAACAAATGTCTTACAATATTTTAAATATCTAGAGAACACTGATACCGTCTTCACTTACTGACAATGGCATATTATCAATTCACTTTTCCAAAGAGATAGAAGTTACTTCTTTTGACTTAGATCTGACTTCTTAAACTGTCAAATGAAGTATCTGAGTATAACTCACCACCTACAACTTGATATTTAGCCTCCTCTCTTCATTTGCTTTGTATTATATGTACTGTAGCCCTTACTTTAATATTTCTATATCTTACACATCTTTCTCTCTTAAAAATGTGCTTTCATTTAGATGAGAAATACAATTTTAAGGGAGAAGTTGACTCATGCCTAGTTCTGTATTTTTTTTTAATTGGTGGTCTATCCTGAGGAAATTAATGTCGCCCTACTGGGTATGATGCTGTCCCTCTGGAGAGATTCCTGCAAGTTATGACCACTGGGGATTTTATAGGTGTCCACATTAAGCCTTTCACTGAGAGTAGAGATTAACTTGCAGTTGCCTCTCTGACACAAATATATCTAAGAAATCAACATAATCTTTCAAAACCCTTCCAGCTAATACTAGTTTGTAGCCACTATTAATATAGTGGTTCTAAGTTTGTTCCAGGGTCTCAAAGCCTTAAATAATTTCATGATTATACTCAGTTATAACTCAGTAGCTGAGTTATACTCAGCTACTTCATTTGACAGTTTAAGAAGTCAGATCTAAGTCAAAAGAAGTAACTTCTATCTCTTTGGAAAAGTGAATTGATAATATGCCATTGTCAATAAGTGAAGATGGTAGCAGTGTTCTCTAGATGTTTAAATGTCTAGATGCAAATGTCAACATATAAAGCTTACAAGGACATAACTGGGTGTTTCACACTATTATTTTAGTTTTAACCCACTTGATCTATCAAGTTATCTGTCATAGAACAAATGAAAGGCCCCTTTAGAGAAGTCTCAGAATAAAAAATAGGCCTAGTTATGTTCGTTGGGAGAGAAGTAAATAAAGCATGGGTTTACATTTTCTGTCTATAAGAAATTGTCATTGTAGCTGTTGTTTGTTTCAAAATCTATGTACAGTTCTGACCCACCAACTGACAATGGCTGCCTGACTCTAACACTCTGGTGTGTTATTGTAAATTCCCTGAGTCTTCTTTATAGCAAGAGAAAAAATCAGGACATTCTGAAAGTAATACACTGTGGATATTTACATGGCCAGAGTATAATTTTCTCTGCTTAATAATAAAACTTAATAATGAGCTTAATAATAAAACTCACATACAAATACAAAATAAACCTGTGTCAAAATTTATTTCACTTATTCCTGAAGAAATCAGTAGGTGGGAAAGCTGGTTCCAAGAACGAGTTAAAAAAAATTACAGATTTTCTTTCCCCAAAAACAAGAAATGTTAGAATAAGACAACTATGTTAGAAGCAAAACTGGGCCGGGAGCGCTGGCTCACACCTGTAATCCCAGCACTTTGGGAGGCTGAGGCGGGCGGATCACGAGGTCAGAAAATCGAGACCATCCTGACTAACATGGTGAAATCCGGTCTCTACTAAAAATACAAAACCAAAATTAGCCGGGCGTGGTGGCCTGTAGTCCCAGCTACTCAGGATGCTGAGGTAGGAGAATGGCGTGAACCCAGGAGGCGGAGCTTGCAGTGATCCCAGATTGCGCCACTGCACTCCAGCCTGGGCGACAGAGTGAAACTCCATCTCAAAAAAAAAAAAAAAAAAAAAAAAGAAGCAAAATTGATTAATAACAACAAATAGTACTGGGTAAACTGGATATCCACAGGCAAAATATAAAGTTTGGGCCCTTAACTTACATAGTATACAAAAATAAGCTAAAATAGATCAAAGACTTAAAAGTAACAACTACAACCCTTAAACTCTTAGAAAAAAAAACATAGGAGAAAATATTCTTTATGTTAGATTTAACAATGATTTCTTAGATATGATATCAAAGGTACAGGGAATGAAAAAAATAACAAAAAAATTAGTTTCATCAAAAGTAAAAGTTCTGTGCATTAAAAGTCACCGTTGACCAGGTGTGATGGCTCACGCCTGTAATCCCAACACTTTGGGAGGCAGAGGCAGGTGGATCACAAGGTCAGGAATTTGAGACCAGCCTGGCCAATATGGTGAATCCCCATTTCCACTAAAAATACAAAAATTAGCTGGGCATGGTGGTGTGCACCTGTAATCCCAGCTACTTGGGAGGCTGAGGCAAAAGAATCACTTGAACCTGGGAGGTGGAGGTTGCAGTGAGCTGAGATTGTGCCACTGCACTCCAGCCTGGGCGACAGAGGGAGACTCCATCTCAAAAAAAAAAGCCACCCTCAAGACAGTGGAACAACAGCTCAACGAATGGGAGAAGATGTCTGCAAATCACATATGTGATATGACATCAGTATATGTGGATATAATATGTATAATAGAATAAAGAACTCCAGCAACTCAACAATAATAAATGGTTCAATTTGTTAAATAGGCAAAGGACTTGAATAGATAATTATCTAAAGAAGATATACGAATGGCCAACAAGCACATGAAAAGAGGCTCAATATCACTAGCATTAGAAAAACACAAATGAAAATAATGATGAGATATAATTTCACACCTATTAGGATGATTACAAAAAAGAAACTCCAGAAAATAACAAGGGTTAGTGAGGATTCAGAGTCAATGGGAACCCTTGTGCATTGCTGGTGGGAATGTAAAATGGTGTAGCTTCTGTGGACAACAGTTAGGTGGCTCCTCAAAGGTTAAACATAGAACTACTATATGATCCAGCAATTCTATGCCTATATACATGCCCAAAGTAATTGCGAATAGAGACTCCAACAGATATTAACCACCAATGTTCACAGTACCATGATTTACAGTAACCAAAAGCAGGAAGCAACTCAAAGGTTCATCAATAAATGAATGAATAAACAAAATACAACATATTCACATAATGGAAACTTATTCAGCCTTATTAAGGAATGAATTTCTAATATACACTACAGAACTTCAATGACTACAACATATGTAAACTTTGAAAACATTATGCTTACTGAAATAAGCCAGATGCAAAAGGATAAATATTGCTTGAAGTACTTAGAATAAGCAAATCACAGAGACAGAATAATCATTACCAGGGACTAGTGTGGGTGAGAAGTTATTGTTTAATGGGTACAGAGCTTCTATATGGGATGATTAAAGAGTTCTGGAAATGGACAGTGGTAAAGGTTGTGCAACTTGGTGAATGTAATGCCCTCTGAACTGTTCATTTAAAATTCATTAAAGTGACAAATTTTACAGTATGTGTATTTTACCATAATTTAAAAAAGAAAAATAAAGAAAAAATATGTATTCCCAATTGCACTGTATTTTTGGTTATTAAGCATAAAATTTAAACTTTATTAAACTTATTAGAAAAAGGGAATTGGAAATGTGATATAATGCAGTAATTCACAAAAATGCATACAGTAAATGCACTCAAGAGCAGTTTTTCTGATGCTTGATGAACTCCTATCAGTTGTGAATTAAAACTGATTAATATCCTTCATGGAAACAGATCCATAAGGTCTGGCATTGTCTTTTTCTACTAGAGAGAAACCTAGAAGTTATCACATAATTGCATAGCGTCTAGGATCAAATCAACTAATACATAGCCAAGTCAAAAGAAAATGAAGTAATCTTTGGGTTGGCCTTTTAGATGATAGCTTTTAATAATGTAATATTACACTAAATATACATGTGTTATGTCAGAGTTTTAGATACTTTTCCTTAGCAGTCCCCTATCACAAATATGTCCTCTGTTAGTGCTAATCCATAACTAACTCAGTTCCTTATTTTCATGTCAATAATCTTCAAGTGTTATTCTCTTTTTTATTTTTTTATTTTTTTGAGACAGAGTCTGGCTCGGTCTCCCAGGCTGGAGTACAGTGGTATGATCTCGGCTCACTGCAGGCTCTGCCTCTGGGTTCACGCCATTCTGCTGCCTCAGCCTCCGGAGTAGCTGGGACTACAGGCGCCCGCCACCATGCCTGGGTAACTTTTTGTATTTTTAGTAGAGACGGGGTTTCACCATGTTAGCCAGGATGGTCTCGATCTCCTGACCGCGTGATCCGCCCGCCTCAGCCTCCCAAAATGCTGGGATTACAGGCGTGAGCCACCGGCTCGGCCTCCAAGTGTTATTCTTAATCAAAAAAAGAAAAAGTTTATCTGACTATAGTTGACCCTGATTATTTATGTAGCTTCAGAAAGAGGAGTTAAACACATAGGTGAAGTCTTCCCTCCACCAGGTTTTAAAATGTAAGATTCATGGCCTTCTGAAAACACTCCCTTACCAATGTGAGGCTGGAACCATAGAACAGGTGGAGGAGTTAGTAGGTATTGGCTCAACATTTAAAGTACAATCTTGTTCCTTAATAGGTATTTTCATACCTTATAAACACATGTATGGCCTTGGATGTCCAATTAAATCCCAAGAGAAAAGGACAGATTCTTGATGAAACTATGCAAATAATAAGAAAGCAAGTAAAAAGGGCTCCTCAGCAGAACCTCCGACCAGCTTGCACACTGACAGGAGTGCACAATGAGGTGGTGCCTCGGGAAGTTTGCAGCAGGGAGGAGCCTGGCCTCTTCTGTTCCAGGGCGGAGGCTGGGATTCAATCTATGAGGCAGGAAGCTGGGAAGCAGGACTCACTTTACTGACAGTCTCTGTTTCCCCTTTTTTCCCTTTCGCCCAATAAATTCCATTTTTCTCACCCTTCAAAGCATCTGTGAGCCTAATATTTCATGGCTGTGTGACAAGAACGCAGCTTTTAGCTGAACTAAGGAGACAGTCCTACAATAATAATATGTTGACCTACAAGCATGGAGAGTCAGTACAAATATATTGTTCTGAATTCTCAGAGAAAAATAGAAATTAGACAGTGTTTGAATGATGTATTTCACTTACCAGGTGTAGTATATAAAATTGAGGATCAGAGCTAGAAAAAGAAACTGTAATTAATACTCCTTCTACTGGATGTTGAGTCAGTTTTTTGCTTTGATAAAATTATCTACCAATGAGGCAAAAAGATAAATCCTTAAAACAATGTGATTTAAAAGTAAGTTATTATGCTCAGTACTTTATAGGAGAACATTCAAGTAAGTGTCAGAGGAAAACAAAAACCACCTAGAGATGCAACTAAATGGCTGTTTAATTTATATAGTAAACAATAATATAAAAATGGAGAAGAATAAAATTCTGCATTAGGTTCAATACTATCTCATAAAGACTTGACCAATGTTTCACCTGGGGGCATATACCTCTCCAATTTCCTATTACAATCTCTAATCTATGAGTTAAATGTCTACAGTTCCTAAACCATTCACCTCTTTTTTTTTTTTTTTTTTTTTTTTTTTTGAGACAGAGTATCCCTGTGTCACCAGGCTGGAGTGCAGTGGTGCCATCTTGGCTCACTGCAACCTCTGCCTCCTGGGTTCAAGTGATTCTCCTGCCTCAACCTCCTGAATAGATGAGACTACAGGCATGCACCACGATGCCCAGCTAGTTTTTGTATTTTTAGTAGAGATGGGGTTTCACTATGTTGGCCATGATGGTCTCGATCTCTTGACCTCCTGATCTGCCCACCTCAGCCTCCCAAAGTGCTGGAATTACAGGCGTGGGCCACCGCACCCCGACACCATTCATCTTAATATGTAAGATTATGTAAAATGAACTGAGAAGGCTGAGCCCTTTAGAATTGACCTCATGCAACTCACGCAGTTGTGTAGAACTAATGAAGAAATATGGGGCACACCAAAGAAGCCCAATTTATTTTAGTCTCACTCATGTTATAAGGCAACAATTGTCACAGTTTTTCTAGAGGTCACCTAGGAAATCTAAAAAATACTTATTTTTCCCTAAAAATCAGAAAACATTTACTTTTTGGAATTTAAGATATAATTTCAGATGGGCAAAAATTAAGTGTTATCAGAGGAGATTTGGTCACTGTGATAAAGATAGGAATACAGGTGCAGAGAAGAAAATGGGGGCAATAATCCCAATAACAATATAATATTCTAAAATAAGCATAGAAAAAGATATCATAATTGTTAGAAAATGTATCCCTTTCATAATTAATTATGATGTACAAATGTTTTTTTCTTATTTTTCTTTTTAGCTACATTGAAGTAAGATTGATAAATAAAAATTGTACATATTTAAGTTATATAATATGATGTGATGTGTGTATACATTGTGAAGTAATAGCCACTGTCAATTAACATTTTCATCAACTTACAAAGTTACACTTTCTCTGTGTGTGTCTATGTGTGCTTGTATGGAAATACGTAAGACCTACCCTGTTAGCAAAATTCAAGTATACAATGCATTCTTATCAGCTGTAGCTACTATGCTATATATGTTAGGTATCCAGAATTTATTCATCTTTTAACTAAAAGCATCTCCCCCTTTTTCCTACCTTCTAATCCCTAGCATCTAATGAGTTTAAATTTTTTAGATTTCACAGATAAGTGAGATGATGCAGTATATTTGTCTTTCTGTGTCTCACTTATTTTACTTAGCAATATGTTCTCTCAGTCCATCAATGCTATCACAAATTTTAGGATTTCCTTTTTTCTAAGGATGAATAATATTCCATTGTATGTATATGCCACATTTTCTTTATCCACTAATCTGTAATAAAGGCTATTATTCAAAATACACAAGAAACCCTTCAAATTTCACAAGAAAGCAAACAATTCAGTTAAAAATGGGGAAACAATATAAATGGATAAGTCACCAAAGGAAATATAAAAATGGCAAATAAGTATTTGAAAATATATTCAACAGCATATGACTTTAGGGGGATAAAGCAATTCTATATATTGAAATTTCCTTTAACAAAGAAAGCAAATAGAAAACTTTCTCAGAAAAACAAAATTTAAGTGATTGTCAGCTGACCTGTCTTGCAAGAAATACTAAAGGAAGTTCTTCAAGGGGAGAGAAAATGATGCAAGTGAGAAATTCAGATACACAATAAAGAAGAAATAAATGAAAAAGAATAAATTAAAGTTAAAAACTTTTTTTATTCTTATTGATCCATAACTGTTTAGTAACAAAAAATGGGTAATTATAGAATGTGGAGAGATGAAATGAACAATAGCAATGTCATAAGGTACAGGAGGTACAATCTGGTAGTATTTTTATGGGATACCTACACTACATGTGAAGTAACAATTTTATTTGAAGACAGACATAAAATGTATATAATCAATTCTACTTAATTTAAAGATAGACTTAAAATGCATATAATCAATTCTAAGATAACCACCACAAGTTTTTAAAAGAAGTGATGAGATCACATCTCATGAGGTGATGAGATACACCAAGAGCTGAGATAAAAATACAATCATAGAAGATGCTCAATTAAAATAAGAGGAGGCAGGCCAGGCACGGTGGCTCATGCCAGTAATCCCAGCACTTTGGGATGCCAAGGTGGGTGGACCACCTGAGGCCAGCCTGACCAACATGATGAAACACGTCTCTATTAAAAATATGAAAGTTAGCCTGGTGTTGTGGCACACATCTGTAATCCCAGCTACTCTAGGCTGAGGTGGGAGGATCACTTTAACCTGGGATGTGGAGGTTGCAGTGTGCCAAGACCACCACTGCACTCCAGCCTGGGTGACAGAGTGAGGCTCTATCTCAAAATAAAATAAAATGAAATAAAAATAAATGAATATAATTAATGTTTATATTCTACTTCAACAAAAGTAGAATACACATTCTTCTCCAGTTTGTACAAGACACACTGCATTATGGGCCATAAATGTCTTAAAATTTTTCAAAGAATAAAGTTCATACAAAGTACACACTCAGACCACAATAAAAATTAAAGTAGAAATAAATAGCAGGAAGAGCTGAAAAATTTTTCAAATATTTGAAGACTTAAAAAACATCTAAATGCATCCCAAAAGAAGACTAAAGAGTAACTAAAATATTTAGAATTAAAAGGAAATGGAATCACAACTTATTAAAATATATGAGATACAGTAGAACTAGTACCTAAATTTATAGCATTAAATGCATATTATTATGAAAAAGGAAATAAAAACAATAACCTAAGCTTCTGCCTTAAGAAACTAGAAAAAGAAAATCCAAAGTAAGTAACAAGGGAAAAAATATATAAAGTATAGCAGATATCAGTAAAATAGAAAACAGGAAAACAATAGAGAAAATCAATGAAACAGAAAGCTGTTTCTTTGAAAAGATCCATAAACTTGCTAACATTTAGACAAACTAATAAAGAAAAAAAGAGAGAATGCACAACTTACAAATATTGGAAGTGAAAGAGGGATATGGGTTATGACTCCTGATTTTGTGGACATTAAAAGGATAATATATTTACTATATTAAAACTCTATACTCACAAGTTGAATAACCTATATAAAATGGACAAATACCTTGAAAGACACAATATGCCAATACTCACAAAAGAAAAAATAAATAACATGAGTACTCTTATATCTATAAAAGGAATTGAATAAATAGTTAATAACTCGCCCCCCCACCAATGGTTCCAGGCCCGAATGTCTTTAGTGGTGAGTTCTATCAAGCATTTAAAGGAGAAATTATACCAATTTTCCACAGACTTTTCAAGAAAATGGAATTAGAGAGAACACTTCCTAATTCATTCTATGAGGTAAATATTACCCTCTTACCAAATCCAATAGGCATAACATGAAATAAAATCAATATATCAATATCTCTCATGAACAAAGATTCAATAATCCTTCACAAAATACTAGACAATTGAATCTAACTATGTATTTATTCTAGGTAAGACTGTATGCAAGACTGATTCAATATTAGAAAATTATCTGCAGAATTTCCTAAATCAACAGGTTAAGGAAGAAAAATCATGTGACTGTATCAACCGATGTAGAAAAAGCTTATGGCAAAATCTATCACCCATCTATAATTTGAGAAACTCTCAGAAAACTAGGAATTGAGGTGAATTTTCTTAACTTGAAAAAGAACATCTACAAAAACCCTAGAACTATCATACTTAATGATGAGAAATGGGATGCTTTTTCCCAAAAACCAGGAGCAAGAAGAATTTTGTTTTTTGTTTTTTTTCTTTCACTGCTTGCAAAATGAAACCACCACTTTGGAAGACAGATGGGCAATTTCTTATGCCCATAGTTGCTATACTACATGTAAAAAAAAGTCTTAAATATAATATAGCAATTGTGGTTTTTTTGTTTGTTTTGAGATGGAATCTTGCTCTGTCACCCAGGCTGGAGTGCAGTGGTGCAATAGAAGGATACTGCAACCTCCACCTCCTGGGTTCAAACAATTCTCCTGCCTCAGCCTCCAGAGTAGCTGGGAATACAGGCACCTACCACCATGCTCGGCTATTTTTTTTTTTTTTTGTATTTTACTAGAGGCAGTATAACCTGCTGATTTGGGAAATTTTACCATGTGGCCCAGGCTGGTGTCCAACTCCTGAGCTCAGGCAATGCGATCGCATCGGCCTCCCAAAGTGCTAGGATTACAGGCGTGAGCCATCGTGCCTGGCTGCAAATGTGTTTTTAGGTGTTTATCCACCTTATTTGAAAACTATGTCCACACCAAAACTGGTACATGAATATATATATATAGCAGTTTGTTTATAATTCCCGAAACTGGAAGAAACCAAGAGGTCTCATAATTGATGAATGGAAAAAAAAAAACAACAAAAAACACTGTGATACATCATATAAGGGAATATTACTTCCTAAAAAAGTAAATGATCTGGCAAAAGATTCAGTGAGGAGGTTTAATAGGTGAAGCACATGGGCATTATTTGGACCAGTCAAAGTATTCTGTATGATACCACAACTGTGGAAACATGAGAGTATGCATTTGCGTTTGTTTTTTTTTTGTTTTGTTTTTTGAGATGGAGTCTGCTCTGTCGCCCAGGCTGGAGTGCAGTGGCACGATCTCGGCTCACTGCAAGCTCCGCAACCCGGGTTCACGCCATTCTCCCGCCTCAGCCTCCCGAGTAGCTGGGACTACAGGCGCCTGCCACCACGCCCGGCTAATTTTGTTTTTGTATTTTTAGTAGAGACGGGGTTTCACCATGTAGCCAGGATGATCTCCATCTCCTGACCTCGTGATCTGCCCGCCTCGGCCTCCCAAAGTGCTGGGATTAGAGGCGTGAGCCACTGCACCCGGCCTGCATTTGTTAAAAAACAAAGAATCTCACAGCACAAAGAGTGTCACTTAATATATGCAAATTTTAAAACAACAACAACAACAACAAAGTAGGTGTTCTGGGGATCCTGGGATGGAATGCAGAAAGTGATAAAAAATCTAAAGTACTACAAATGTATAAAGCCACTTCACTCTAGGGAGTGGGAAAAACGTGCTGACATAAGCATCTTAGAAAATGGATGGGCCTTCTGTGGTGGCTCACACCTGTAATCCCAGCACTTTAGGAGGTCAAGGTGGGCGGATCACCTGAGGCTGGGAGTTTGAGACTAGCCTGGCAAAAATGGTGAAACCCCGTCTCTACTAAAAAGACAAAAATTAGCTGGGCATGATGGCAGGTGCCTGTAATCCCAGCTATGCAGGAGGCTGAGGCAGGAGAATTGCTTGAACCTGGGAGGTAGAGGTTGCAGTGAGCCGAGATCATGCCACTGCACTCCAGCCTCAGCCTGGGCAAGAAGAGCAAAACTCCATCTCAAAAAAAAAAAAAAAAAAAAAAAAAAGAAAGAAACAAAATGCATGAAGACTGAAAGGAAGAGAAACTGCAAACAACTCATGTGATCTGGTTGGTATAGCTGTTTCCTACAGGAAATGGGATAATGATTCTGATATTGATAGAGAATAAATGTATATTGGAACTAGACAGTTAAGCAAATGGATGACAAATGACAGGAGTCTAGTTTCTCACTATTAAAGTGGTAGGTTACATGTAAGCAAAGGGAGAAGGCCAGAATGATCATGTGATAAAAGAATTGAGTCGTAGACATCAGTATGAACTAACACTTACACACATTACATTTAGAAATATTTATAGTTATGTCTATACACAGCTTTGTATACACACATTTATTTATTTGCTCTGTAAGCTAAGACAGTCTAGAACCAATGATATCCCAGCAGAAATGAGCACATCTAACACTCAAGTCTTCAATTCTTGGGTTTTTGTTCATGACCCGGGATCCAGGAGTTGGGCCCTGGGGCTGGGCATTGTGTAGCCTCCGGGGTGGTGCTGAGCATCCATTCCCACTCTCCTGCAGCTGAGGACCCATCCCTTGACTTGGGCCCCCTGGAGGCAAGAACATGGTCACCCACTTTAATCACATGGTCCCTATCACATAATCAGAGGGTGCTGTGGGTTTTAACTCTTCAAGCTTGATGTGTAAAGAATTCGACATAAATATGATATAGTGACTAGAAGTATTTTATTTATTTATTTTGAGAGAGAGAGTCTCTGTTGCCCAGGCTTGGAGTGCAGCGGCACAAACAATCAAACAATAACCAAAATCCAGAAGACTGAAAAAGTCAAATGCTGTCAAGGATGTGGAGCAACAGGACCTCTCATTCCTTGTTTGTGGCACAATCAGTTTACTGTACCCACGAACTCCCGGGTGCAAGTGATCCTCCCACAATCTATCTCCCAAGTAGCTGGGGCCACAGACATGCACCACCATGCCTGGCTGATTGGTTTTATTTTTACAGAGATGAACGTTCTCTGTGTTGTCTAAGCTGGTCTCAAACTCCCGGGATCAAGCGATCCTCCTATCTCGGTCTCCCAAAGTGCTGTAAGTACAGGCATGAGGTCCTGCACCCAGCCTGGAAGTCTTTATAGATAAGTTCAATTTAACTGTTTCTCCATCTGCTCTACTCAGCCAAGTTTCCCTCTCAGTCCAAGGGACTGACCAGGATGGCTGCAGATTACCCAGCGCCACCGCCATACTCCAGATGCTGCTCAACGAGGAAGGGATCCTGAGGCCTGGCAGCTGGCGCTCTCAGCAACCTTGAAGCCCTCTAAACGGGACGGGCCATCCGTGCCTGTCAGAACTGTAGCCACTACCTGCACTTGGCACACAGGCAAATACGGCCAAGCAACCCCAAACTCCCCTCTTCCCCTCTGGGCCCAGGCAGCGCTGAACCTGCCACTCAGCTCCATCCTGGCGACTGCACAGTCCCCAGAGCCTGCAAACCAGCACTCAGGGCGCGAGCCAAGGAAGAGCAGGGCCTAGAGTGGGAGGGCGTGTGCCACTCAGTGACCCTCAGGCCATCGGGCCCAGCCCTGCAGCCTCTACCATGGGCTCAGCTGCAGCTGGCATTTGAAGGTGGCAGCAGCAGTGGCAACCCCAGAACATGTCCGCCCCACCAGCAGGCGAACCCCAGGGTCGGACAACGCCACTGCACCTAAGTCAGGCAGTGGGACCTCAGTTGCAGGAGGGTGGGAACCTGCCGCAAAGCCTCATGGCCGCAGCTGTACAGGGCCCAGTGGTGGCGAGCCTGCACTGCCAGCGCGAGCTGAGGAAGAGCAGAGCCCCGGGTGGAAGGGCGATGTACTCGGCAATGCTCAGTGGTCTGGGCCCAGCTCTGTAGCCTCTACCATGGGCTCAGCTGCAGCTGCCACCTGGCAGCAGAGGCTGCAACCCCGACCCTGCCAGCGCCACCAGCAGCATGGATACTTGGGCCAGAAGCCTCCAGGGCGCCTAAGTCAGTGGTTGGGTCCCTGGCTGCAGGAGGGCGGGAACCGACGCTCAGCGCCACCCCAGAGGCTGCACGATGCCCAGCACCAGGGCCCAGCTCCTGGATCTCAGGTTGAGGAGGGGCCAGGGGCGGCTCTGTCAAGCAGGCCGTGTGGCAGGGAGCCCCCCACGTTCCGCTCCAGGGAGCCCCGCCAGCCCGACAGCACCTCAGTGGCAGGTGTCACCTGCACGCGGTGCTGGGCGAAGCGTAGCCCGGGCGGTTTCCCGCCTCGCCTGTCTCCCCGGTCTGCTGAGTTGCGCATGCTCTGTTGCCTAACGGTTCTGCTCAGCTGCCTAAAGGTTCTGCTCAGCTGCCTAACGGTTCTGCTCAGCTGCCTAATGGTTTTGCGCAGCGATTTTCTCCCAGGAGAGGCTGGAGTGTCCAAAAGCTTGGCCCGACTGAGATTTCTACTGGTGTCAGGGCGGGTGCGGGGACTGAAGAAGGGCGAGGGCGAGCGGCGGGGACTGGGGAAGGGCGAGCAGCGGGAGGTGCGCGCTCTGTCTAGCAGGTGGCTGCAGCCATGGAGAGGCTCTCTGCCGCCGCTGTCAAGGGCCAGACGGGCCCGGAGCGCCGGAGCCCCTTCAGTCAGCTGGTCTACACCAACAATGGCTCTTACGTGATTCACCATGGGGATCTCAGGAAGATCCACAAAGCTGCCTCCCGTGGCCAAGCCTGGAAGCTGGAGAGGATGATGAAGAAGACGACAATGGACCTGAACATAAGAGATGCGAAGAAGAGGTACCAGACCGTGCCTGAGCCGGGGCTGCAGGAGGAGGAGGCGGCTGTGGGAGGATCGCCCCTTCAGAGTGGGGGCTGGGGGTCCTGGGGACGAGGGGAGCAGGTGGAGGAGTGGCGGGCAGCGGGGCGGCTGTCCTGGGCCCCGAGGTCTTGATCTTCTTCCCGGGCAGGCCCCCCAGGCCTTGGATGGGGGCGCCCTGCAGGGTGGAGGGCCCAGGCCACCTTAAAATCAACCTCAAACTTTAGTTAGCTGCTTTCTCCTTCACTCCCACTTCCTCTCACAGAGCACTGTGTAGAGAATTTTAAAGTGATTTAACTTACAAAATTAAGTACATACAGGGTTTTACTTTTAATGTACAGGTTTTAAAAGATAACGTTAGATACATTATGAAATGGTGCATAATGAAATAATTCCCATAATATATTAACTTCTTGGCTAAAAATTTTTTGGATAAAGTCCAGTATCCATTTCAATATCAATGAATGTCTATGTAAATATAATCTTTGCTGAGGGACCTTAGAAGGTAACTTTGAGGTGGGAAGATGGTTTATGTTTTCGAATTTAAGAAGACTCATTTTTCTCAAGATGCAAGTTCTTTATCAGTTTTACATAAACCAAATAAAATCATCAACATTTTAACATTTTTAAAATTACACACTCTGTCTTTTACTACTGTGATGACATTTAAAAATTTTTCTAACGGAGTAGAAAAGTCTTGCTCTTCTAGATTTCAAAATGTGCTATTAATTTGCACAAAATGGGCCACGGCCAGGCACGGTGGATCATGCCTGTAATCCCAGCACTTTGGGAGGCCGAGGTGGGTGGATCACGAGGTCAGGAGATCAAGACCATCCTGGCTAACACGGTCTCTACTAAAAACACAAAAAATTAGCCGGGCATGGTGGCGGGCACCTGTAGTCCCAGCTACTCGGGAGGCTGAGGCAGGAGAATGGTGTGAACCTGGGAGGCGGAGCTTGGAGTGAGCCGAGATCGCACCACTGCACTCCAGCCTGGGTGACAGAGCGAGATTCCGTCTCAAAATAATAATAAATAAATAAATAAATAAAATTTGAAAAAAGAAAAAAAAAAGTCCAGGCGTGCTGGCTCATGCCTGTGGTCCCAGCACTTCGGGCGGCCGAGGCGGGTGGATCACCTGAGGTCAGGAGTTCAAGACTAGCCTGGCCAATATGGTGAAACCCCGACTCTACAAAAATACAAAAATTAGCCAGGCACGATGTCGGTAGCCTGTAAGCCCATCTACTCGGGAGGCTGAGGAGCGAGAATCGCTTGAAACTGGGAGGTGGAGGTTGCAGTGAGCTGAGATCCCATCACTGCACTCCAGCCTGGGCGACAGAGTGAGACTGTGTCTCAAAAATAAATACATAAATCACAAATTCTTTGATAACAGCTGAAAAGACAGGTAAATGAATACAACAGAGTAGAAAATCCAGAAACACCCGAATATCTAAGAATTTAGAACTTGATAATGCTCACACTTTATACTAGTAGGGAAAGAATAGTTTCATAAGGGAAATGCCTGCTTTTTGGAGAAAACTAGATTTTTATGCCACAAAGTAAATTTCTAACGGAATATAGATTAATTTTTTTAATATACAAAATGATAAAAGCACCAGAAGAAAACATAAATGCCTATTTACACAGGTACATTTTTATGTTGACAACACCTTTCTAAGAAGCTCAGAAGCAAGCAGTCTGAAGGATAATTAAGCAAAACAAAATTAAATTAAACTGTAATGAGAAAAAATAAAAGGCCGCATACTTGTAAAATATTTACTACACATGTATGTGCGTGTGTGTATACATATTAGATTTAAAAATCGTCCTTTTATAGATAATTCACTTAAATCAACAAAAAACCCTCATTTAAAATTGAGCAATTTAAATTAGAGATCTAAATTGCAGGTCTAAAAATAGTACTTTGCTTCTAATTTAAAATTGGAAAAGTATTTTCTTAAGATCTGCAAGTGACCTATGCACACAGAAAACAATATTTAGTGTTCCTGGTTACAGAAGGCATTTAAGTTAAAAGAGGAATCAAACACTGCTTTCTATCTACAAAGTTTATGAGGAAAAAGAGCAGTGATATTTACACTGCTGTTTAAAGTTTAAGTTGCAGATAACTTTTCAAATAGACAATTTGGTGGTAAGTACCATATTATTAAGAAGAATCCATATAATGACTTTTATAAATACATTTCAGTGAATTTACAGCATGGGATAATATGTGACCACTGAAGGTAGAAATATGTAGAGAAGTAGGTGACATTTGAAAATGTATTTTGGTGTATCAAGTGAGGGTAAAGTTCAGTTTGATTATACATACACACAGACTACAGTCTTGTGTTATCTGAAATTGTGTATGAAACCTGATAAAATTTGTTATTTGAGGGCATTTGTTTTAATATAAAATGTTTTTCCTTTTTATTATCTTTGATTTCCACATTGAGCATGTACAATGCTATTAGAAAAAGTTTATTATTAATGAAATAATTTTTGGGAAGAGCAGGAATATAATTTTGCACCAATGAAAATAATTTCTCACTTTCCATACTTTAATTTTTATTTTTTGTGAATTAGTATATTCTGTGAACTTTTAGCATCTTCAAAAGACAATCTTTTTACCTGTGCTTGTTGATTTACATATACATCTTATTAGACACATATTTTTATTATATATAGATTTATTACATATATGTCAATAATTATAGATTAATTAGTGTAGTTTTATTATTAAGAAAATAAAATAGAAAATATAAGTGCTTTATTTATAGCAGTTTTTTTAAGGTATTGAACTTCTCAACTGTATTTATCCTTTTAATCAATTTATCACATGTAAGCTGAATGCCTATTATGTAGAAGATACATTAACTCTCAAAATCCTTTCATCCTTAAAAATTTTACATTTACCTGCTCAGCCTTAGCAAAGTGAGAGATTTAAAGTTGGAGTACTAGGACTGAATCTCAATTGAAGCTTTTCCTCTCATCTTTAAAACAAAAACACTTCTGAAGTAAGAAACTAGTAAAAGATAACTACCAACCATGATTTTGGAAATTTATAACAGCTTTAAATAGTAATATTAATCATTGGAAATACCTAATTTACATGCATTCTATAAATTTAAATATGAATTTACATACATTCTATAAATCTAAATATGGAATAAAATGATCCATACCTACTTTAATCCCAAGTTTTCTTTGGCTTGAAGTTTTAAAAATATTAAAGAAGTACTTTGTTTTAACAGTTTGTTTTTATTTCAACTCTCCTTTTGTGTAGCACTCTTAAAAGCTAAAATTTCTTTAAGTGTTAATCCTATGACTAGGACTGCCATCATCCTGTTGTATATACCATATGCCACTTCATGGAAGGCACCATGAATTGTGTGATGCCTCCTTATTTATGTAACAATAAAAGATTGTTTAAATTTCTGCAGAATATACTTGTAACAAATAATGACTTATAAGTGGCATTTCAATGTCAGAGATGTTAAAATATGAGAAATAGAGTATCTTAGAATTATTAAACTACAGGTTTATCTCTAACCTTTAAAACATACCACAAAGTAGGCATAATTGTACCATTTTACTTAAAATGTTTTCTTTGTTAAGTAGTAGAAATAATTACAATATCTAACAATTACTGAGCTGTTACATGTGCTAGGAATTCTTTGAAAAACGTTGCACAGATTCTCATGAGGCATCACAGTGATGTCCTGTGAGATAACTGCTGTATTCATCTTCACTTTATTGATGAGAAAATTGAGGCACAGAAAGGTTAAGTGATAGCTAGAAGGTGAAAGACTTTAAAGTAATATTCAAGCCCATGTTGAACTGAATCAAAGGCCAAGCTCTTTCTATTCAAATAGGCCACTCTTTCATTAATGTAGTGAGTAATAAGAGCGAATGAATGTTGTACTTTCTTCAGGAGAATATTAAATATTTGTTTTGAAGGCAGAGAAAGAGCATGATATTTAATGTTGACAATTACATAAATCATTATATGTTTTGAGACAGTGGACTAAAATTTCCTAAAAAGTCCTCTCACTCTCGTAGGACTGCTCTACACTGGGCCTGTGCCAATGGCCACGCAGAAGTAGTAACACTACTGGTAGATAGAAAACGCCAGGTTGACGTCCTTGATGGTGAAAACAGGACACCTCTGATGAAGGTAAATTGTAGCCAGTTCTTTCAGCAGGAGATGGATTTGGTTTAAATACATAGAATAAAGATGAATTTATCTCATTGAAATATAATTAGTTTGTGAAACCTGTGGAATATTTATTTATATTTCCTATAATTTATAATTTACTTCTTGCTTTAATACTAACAGGCTCTGCAATGCCAGAGGGAGGCTTGTGCAAATATTCTCATAGATTCTGGTGCTGATCCAAATATTGTAGATGTGTATGGCAACACAGCTGTCCATTATGCTGTTTATAGTGAGAACTTGTCAGTGGTGGCAAAATTGCTGTCCTAAGGTGCAGACATCGAAGTGATGAACAAGGTAGACGTTAACCAATGCTATTTTCAAAATATTTGAAATCCATTTGTTTTAACATTAACATATGTAAATTGTTTTATATTTGGAAGCTCAAACATTCCTATTTTTCTATGAAAATAGTTTGACAAAACTTAATTGTCTAGGATTTTGCTTTAAATATTAATATTTTTACAAGAACTATTAGTATGGCTTTTCTGTGCATTATGATAAATATTTGAATTTGTTAAAGGTAAAACATTTTCAAATATTCTTTAGCACCCAAGTTTTTTTTTCTTTCCAGTTAGTGTAAAACTACAGGAAATTAAAATTTGCCTGCATAAATTGAGTCAACATGTAAAATTTCAGAGACATGCAGAAATCTGGATTTCTTCTTAAAGGATTGAATCTGGTGTCTCTTGAGCCCATATGACTGTTTGGTATGCTATGAAGACATTCTAGCTTTACATAAAGCATATGTTTCCAGTTTGCTACTGTGCCCACCTAGTTACATCACTTATTCAACTGACCTCTTTTGCCTCTGTAAATATTTCAGTTATCAATTCCTCTCTCATAGTATATTTTGGTAAAGATTTCAAGTTATCAAAGACAGTTTATAGGTGTTTATAATATATAGTTTATATTTTACATTAATTCATTAATAATGGGGTAGTCTTCTAGAATTTAGAATATTTTTTAAATGATTATTTTTCTTCATATAAACCATAAATAATCATCTTCTATTAGAAGGCCTTTAAGCCTTCTTAGATTAATCATGGTTATATTTGAATAGGTTATGCATATTGCAGAAAATATTATATCTTTCTCCGCAGAATTGTCCCTTAAAATTCAAGTTATTTAGTGGCTTCTATTTTGCTAAGCCATATACATGAGTTAGAACTTTCATTAATAAGCCATTTTATTCATGCTTCTGATATTTTGCCAAAAAATAGTATCAATTACAATAGAAACCAGAATAAAAATGGATTATTGCATTTTAAGAAGTAGATATGCATTAGGATCCTAGGAGTATCATTATAATAGAGAATAAAATTTTATACTGAATTTCTTTCCTTTCTTTCTTTTTTTTTTTTTTTTTGAGACGGAGCCTTGCTCTGTCACCAGGTCGGAGTGCGGTGGTGTGATCTCGGCTCACTGCAATATTTGCCTCCCTGGTTCAAGCGATTCTCCTGCCTCAGCCTCCTAAGTAGCTGGGATGCAGGCATGTGCCACCATGCCCAGCTAAATTTTTTGTATTTTTAGCAGAGATGGGGTTTCACCATGTTGACCAGAATGGTCTCGATCTCCTGACCTTGTGATCTGCCTGCCTTGGCCTCTCAATGTGCTGGGATTACAGGCATGAACCACCTCACCTGGGCTTTTATACTGAATTTCTAATAGCTGAGATAAAATCCTATTGTCTGGTAATAGGATAAACCCCATGGACCATTTAATAATGAGCAATCAAAGTTTATTTGAAGCCAACCTCTTTTAATTTAGAGCCACTTCCTTATTGACCCATTTAGAGCAGAAGTGCCTGACATTGGCATTTGGAATCTTGGGATCATTGACAGAAGAGAATCAAGTGAGTTTGTATCACCCAGAGGAAACCTCCATTTTTGGGGGGAAGCTTTCAGAACTGCATCCCTGAAATTCTATTTGTCAAATGTTAATGTTTGCCACAAAAAATACTGTCAATAGGGATTAGGTAAAGTTCAATTCATTTCTTGAATAATGAACATTTAATTCACAGTTTTATAACATTTCTTGAACATAGATAATGGTGGAATCTGTTGGGGTACAGTGCTTCTGGTAAGGTAATTATTCTTTGGAATATAGTTGAAGAAACACTGTTCTAGAGGTAATAATTTAGATTACTAACTTAGTAAAAAATAAAATATTTACTACTATGTCTTAGGGTTTAATTATATAGAGGTAAAAGATACAGACCCTGCCCTCAAGAAGCTCTTGGTTTACATGGGAAACAATAAAATCATTACAGTATAATGATTTTTGGAGATAACCAGAGTTGATGTAGTGATGCAGAGGCTGAATGTTTACAAGAGAAGGTGCAGTACTACTATGCCATGTCCCAGTGAGACATGAGTCTTTTCACCCCTTCCTTTTAGCCTTGGTCGTGATTTACAAAGATAAACACTTGAGCACTCAAGATACTTAACATTTGTTAATACATGTAAATGGTTAATTCTACACTGACAGGCACATATTAAACTGGTTCTGTTCATAATAATGAAGTTATCTCTTTGTTATTTTAGCACAGCCCTCATGCTTGCCATATGCCATGGATCATCAGAGATAGTTGGCATGGTTCTTCAGCAAAATGTTGACATCTGTGCTGAAGATACGTGTGGAATGATTGCAACGTTATGCTGTTGCTTGTGGGTTTAATCTGTAAGTGTTTACATTTAAAGACTAGGTGAGATTTTATAGTTTGTTTCAGGTAGTTTTTGAATGACAGTGAGTTAGTTCACTTCATCAGCCAGAAACCAGGCAAAAAGCTATACTAGTTAGAAGGAGTAATGGCTCCAGGATTCTTTATTTTAGGGCTTTAGGGATGCTAATGTTGTCTACTTGATTTGAAGTATAACCCCTATGCATGGGATAAACATAATGTCACAATTTTGGTTTTTCTAATTAGTTATTTGGGTCTCAAAATGTCCACTTTAAGCAGAAAACCTGACAGTGTCCCCTGGGGGCTGTCTTCCATACCTTCATTCTTGAATCTTTTAAAAGAATCTGAACCTAAGTCCAAGGAAGACATTCTTTTTGTACAAGTCAGAAGGATTGGGGGGTTGGGAAATGGCCATTCTCTTTATTTTGTTGTTTCCATTGATTCTGTTGCTGCATCATTGCCATTGAAACTGCTTCTGCAGTCTGGTAATGATTGACCTTTGTGACCAGGATGCCCTTAGTAACGCAGATCTCTCAGCCTTCATGGTGTAGACTTCGAAGTTATTACATGTTTTTAAAGTTCACGTACATATTCTCAGCCATTGTTTCCAAAGTACCAGCACCCCACTCTGGCAGCTAGAACTTTTAGCTTTAGCCACACACATAGTGAGCAAATTGACCCTTCTTCTCACACTCAAAACCTGACGTGAAACCCACATCTTAGCCTGGATATGGCCTAGACCTTCATGGTAAGTTATCCTTTGATTGGCTTTTTTCTATTTTCTCTAGCCAATATTAGTTGTGGTAGTTTGAAACTGTAACTCAGGTTGAAATAATGTTACAGGAAGAAATTAGAGATCCATTTTGTCTTTGTTACCAGATCTATATCTCTGGTCCTTTATATCCTGTGTAGCACCATTTTGTAGGTAGTGGAAGGTCTCACCTTATTCTGTAAAATCCCATGTCATCTTTCCCAAGTTGTAGTGGGTTCCAACTTGTGGTTGTCCCTTCAAGTGATTCTTTTTTCCTAAAAGTAAAAATCTCCCATGCTACTTACATCTCTACCTCGAGTTTTTTAAATATTTTCAAATGCTGCATCACCATGAAGCCATTCAATAGACTTCACTAAATCTCAAGTAAGTTGGTTAGATTTAACAGAGCTAAGCCTCATCCATCACTGATCAGTCTTCATGTATAAAAGTAAGGATTTGTGCTGGCTTCAGTGGTACATATAGTAAAATTGAAACAACGTTGAGAAGACCAGCATGGTCCCCGCACAAGGATGACATAGAAATCTGTAAAGTGTTGCATATTTCTTGCAGTCCCCAAAAGGACATTTTACTCCTTTCTAACTAGCTCCAAGGAAATGGTGTGAGTCAAAGCAAAATGGGTGACACCCAGTATTGCAATTGTGATTTTCATACAAAAAAATATTTATGTAAGGTGATCTATGAAATGAGATGTGGTAACACATAGGATCTTGTGTGCAATATTTTGTTAGTAGGGATCTCAGAAATGAGAAAATACCAACTTGCATCTTCTTTGTGGAACTTACAAAAAATAAAGGTAGCGTTTTGTCTTCCACAGCAGCTGGAAATGAACATAGTGACTAAGCATCATTCTAACAAAGATTTGTTGGTTCAGAGTTTAAGGAGGTAGATAAAGAGTAGCAGTAGTCCAAGCCAGATGCTGACATCTATTATTTTCTGCCCTTGGTGTGGTTGATGAGCTCAGTAATAGAGTATAATTAGGTTATCTGATTTAATGATTTAATATATTTATAAATAAATTTCATTACAAAATATAAAATAGCTTAGATGCTCTGAATTACAAGCCACAAAGAATAGAACATCTAATATCCAAAAGTAGGAATTAATAACAGAAAATTGCAATATTTGAATATTATAACCTATGAAGAAACACATTTGTTTTTTCTTTTTTTTGTAATTTAATTTTTGTAAAGACATGGTCTCCCTATGTTGTCCACGCTGGTCTTGAACTTCTGGACTCAAGCAATCCTCCTATCTCAGCATCCCAAATTGCTTGCATCACAAGCATGAGCCACTGCACCAGGCCAATATATTGGGTTTTATTGGGAATTTTAAAATAGTTTCAGCAATAAGGTTCAAGAACAAATTATGTTTTTGCTTCACTTTTTATTTTAAGAATTTTAAAAATGTTATCTTGTTAAATCTTTATAATAACATAGTGAAATAAGGCCCTAAAATCCTCATTGTTAGAAGACATTGAGTCTAAGGAAGCAACTTGTTCAAGAAAAAATACCTGTTGGTAGCCATGCTAGGATTTATTCTGAGTTAAGGACATTTTTCATATGTCAAGCTACCTCTAGTTAATTTACTAAGTTACACTGCCCTCACTTCATGAGTGTTTTATCTTTCTTCTTCTTTAATTAGAAGCTTAATAAGTTCATAGAGCTTACAAACTTAAAGTCTATGGAAAAAGTAATGTTCTGATGTTAGATCTAATATTGTCTGAAATACTCTAAGAACTTAATAAATTTGGTAAATGTTTTTTATATCAATGTTAAAATAGTAATTTTATTTATTTCATTTTTATACATAGCATTGATCAACAACTTTTGGAATATAACAAAAGGTATCTAAAAATTCTCAAAATAGCAATCCAGGTAAGACCTCTGATAGTAAACTACACTTGGTGGTGCTACCATGAGATTATAGGAGTGTTGATCACAAAAGAACTATTAAAAAAGCAATGTGTAAGTAGCATGTGTTTACATATATACCTATATGTAAGTGTTTTTATATATACATAGCTTTGATTTAATTTTTTAGTTTATAATTCAGAATTAAGAATTTAGTTGGGCAACCCGCTCGGGTCCCCTTCCACACTGTGGAAGCTTTGTTCTTTCGCTCTTTGCAATAAATCTTGCTAGTAAAAAAAAAAAAAAAAGAATTTAGTTTTAGGTGGTTTATAATCTCAAAAATATTATCTGAAAAAATATTTGTTTAATTGTGGTCCCTAATATCCTATATAAAACTTTTGTATAAATGAGTAAAACAATTTTTAAGTTTATATATTGTATGTTTCCTCAACTGTCATAACAATTTATGCTTGTTATAAAATGTATAATCCTTGGTGTGATTGATGAGCTCAGTAATAGGGGTTTATCAGCTTATCCAATTTAATGAATTAATATATTCATAAATAAACTTTATTACAAATTATAAACTAGCTTAGATGCCTTGGATTACAAGCCACAAATAATAGAACATCTAATAATGAAAAGTAGGAATTAATAACAGAAAACTGCAACATTTGAATATTATAACCTATAAAGGAACACAGTTAAACAAACTGTTAAATAAACAAGTGTTTGTTTGTTTATTAAACATAAACAAACATATAAAATGATTATTTGTTAAATAAAAAATAAATTATTTGTTTGTTTCTTTATTGTAGAGACATGGTCTCCTTATGTTGCCCAGGCTGGTCTCGAACTTCTGTGCTTTATTTAATTTTTACAATAAATGATTTGCATTTAGAGAATTAGAATTAATTACAGTTGAGTCTTGAGCAACATGAGAGTTAGGGTGCTGATCCCCTCATGCAGCTGAAAATCTGCTTTATATGAAAATCTGTTTCTTTTGACTCCTCCAAAACTCTACTAATTTTCTACTGTTGACCTGGAGCCTGAAAAAAGGTGAAAGCATAAGCAGTCAATTAACCCATAGTTTCTATTTTATATGTACTATATATTGTATTCTTAGAATAAAGTGAGCTGGAGAAAAGAAGCTGTTATAAAGAGGAAGAAATATATTCACTATTTATTAGATGGAAGTGAATTATTATACATAAAGGACTTCATTCTCATTGCCTTCACATTGAGTAGGCTGATAAGGAGGAGGCAGAGGAGAGATTTGTCTTGGTATCTTGCAGTGGCAAAGGAAAAGAAAAATCTGTCTATTAGTGGGCTTCTAGAGTGAAAACCCTTATTCAAAGATCAACTGTGTGGCATAGTGACTTGTGTCACTAAAAAAGTAACTATCTTTAGAATTTGGAACTCAAAATTCTTGCACCATAAATGAATGTCAATAAGAATTAACATAACTTAGTGAGGGTGCATCAGTACCAATAGGAGATTATTTTTCAAAGATACCTACTGAGTGCAGAAGTCAGAAAAGCAATTCTTTGTTGAGAAGCGCAGGTTATGTTACATAGTCTTGTACCAACAAGGTCTCACTATTATCAAATTCATTCCCTCTAAGTTGAAACCAAATAAGATATATTTACTTCATTAGAACAAGATGTGTTGTTCTATCTGCTGGATAATTAGTGTGTTAATAGTAATTTTGGTACAACAAGTTACTCTGTTCCTACTAGCCAAAATAGTATCATTATAAATATTCAACTAGCTCAACTCTAGGCTCAACAAATTATAATAAAAGTGGAAAAAATTTTCACAATAACAAAAGTGCTACTGTGATACATAAATGTGAAACAATACATTGTACAATATGAACTGTATGAGCACATCTTTAATTTATTACATATTTATCAAAGGACTTCTATAAGTTAGATTTTGCAAGTGGCAGGAGACCAAGATGGAATACACATAGTCTGGGTCTTTAAGGTGCTCATAATACAATAGAGCTGTCTCTATTGAATTTCTGCATTTTTCCAACAGAATTTCCTAACTATGTTTTTTATTTGTTTATCCACTTGTCCACTTAACAAATAACTGTCAGGTATCTTTAAGGTACTAAGCATCTTTCTTGTTATTATCATTGTCATTTTTTGTTATTTACTACTTTATTAAGGTACTAAGCATTTTTCTTGTTATTATCATCTTTTTTATTATTTACTACTTTATTTAGTGCTTACTCTGTGCCAGAACCCCTTTGGGAGCTTATAATTATCACTTATTATGTCATTATCATATTCAGTCTGTGTCAGACATTTTATATCCAACGTGAAGAATTTAAGCTTTAAAAAGTTTGGTAGTGTCCAGGAGCGGTGGCTCACTCCTGTAATCCTAGCACTTTGGAAGGCCAAGGCAGGCGGATTGCTTGAGCTCAGGAGTTTGGGACCACCCTGACTAACATGGTGAAATCCCATCTCTACTAAATACAAAAAATTAGCTGGGCCTGGGTGGCATGCATATGTAATCCCAGCTACATGGGAGGCTGAGGTAGGAGAATTTCATGAACCCAGGAGGCGGAGGTTGCAGTGATCTGCTGAGATCATGCCACTGCACTCTAGCCTGGGCGACAGTGCGAGGCTCTTGTCTCAAAAAAAAAAAAAAAAAGGAGAAAACAAAAGTTTGGTAGTGTTTAAGGAAAGCAAGCTGAATGAGTAGAAGTTTTCCAGGTAAAGAGTCAAAAGGATGATATTTAGCAGAAGGAAAATTTAACCAGACTGTGTGTTTGGCAGAAGGAACATCTGAAGGAACACCTGACGAGGCTGCACCCTTGGCGTAAAGAACACCTGACATGGCTGAAAGCTTGGTGGAAAGAACACCTGAGGAATAGGATACAGCGAATTCCTTTTCAAAGATTTTAGCCTGTAAAAATCCTTTAAAATTCAAGAGGGGGAAGATTAAGTACAATGAGTTCTGAGTTCCTCATCAAAGAGTAAATATGTCAGTATGTTCAGCTTCTCTGTTCTTTGTTCTCCGTTTTAAAGTTTAACTTCCTCATTATTTATGCCTCCTTGCCCCTAGTTTCATTAAACAACCCCCTTCTAACCTCTAACACCTGTTTTGTCTTTAGTCATTCTTAGTCACCTGCTCTGTCCTCAGTCATCCTTAGACACCTGCTCTGTAACTGTCTTTCCCGCTGAAAGTACTCACCCTGCCACTCCAGCTCATACTCCTGCTCTCTTTGAAATAGCCCATCTGAATTAGCTAAGAGTGTGCAGTCCAACCCTATCCAATAGGGAAAAGACACAACAGTAGGGACTAGCTGCATTAGGAATAAGAACACTTTCCCCTCCCTTGTTCAGTATGATCTTGCCATTGCTCCATCTGCAAGACCACTCTTTCATAGAAGTAAATTTGCCTTGCTGTAAAAACTTGTTGCTGGAGTGCTGACTGTTCTTTGTTTCACTGAAAATTTATTTTCCACAAATGTGGGGGCCCACCCAGCATTCCCATTCTCCTCTGGGGGAGGGTCCAGTCCTCTCCTGTGAGGAGGCGCACCCCGCTGCCTCGTTGCAGTGGCCATAAAGGTAAGGAATCAAGACTCAGCTGGTGCAATTGATAAACCTGGGCTCTCAGCAACGTGGAAAGAAACAGGCCAGCATCTTTGGGGAAAGGATCTTCACATACCGTGGCGACCAGGTAACTGTGCACAGACCGAGGTAAGAAATGTAGCAGGGGTGACAAAGTATTTCCTTGGTGGTCAGGATATTCTGGAGGTCGAAAGTGTGTGTGAATGATCACAAGCACTACTGCTTGTGTTGCTGTTTGTGTAGATGATACTAAGCATTATTGCTGTGAGGAGTGAGTGGGTCCTATCTGCGGTTTTTTTATTTGAACAAAAAACCTTTGAAGAGGAATTCAGTGTATCCTCATAGGGCTCAGGGCAGATCCTGCTGTGAGGTTTATACCATGATGCGAATGCTAAGAGGGACCTAAAATTCCTGGGAGAGAAGCAACCAGAGTGGATGAAGCGAAAGAAGCGTGCAAGGAGCCTCCAGCAGGTGGCGTTAAAGGATAGGGAAGAAATCTCTAGCATGTGGGATTGAGCCTAACCAGGACCTAACATGGGAAAAGCCCCAAGAAAGACAGGGCGCAAAAAAGAAGAGGATAGTAACAAAGACATGCCCCCTGATAGTCCCCTGGGTCTCATGTTAAAATATTGGAAGCATAATGAGAGGACTAAACATAAGAAAAAGCATTAGAGGATAAAATATTGCTGTTTCATTTGGACCCAAGGTCCCATTTTCAAACCCTCAATCTTCTGGCCAAAGTTTGGGTTGAATGAGGATGTAATGTGTCAACTTCTAATTCAATATGTTAATGATAAAAATCTGGTTTCTCAAGAACTAGATTATGGAGACAGGGACCTGTCTTTATTCCCTTAAAGACAACTAGGGAAGAACCCGATCCAGCTCTCAAATTGAAAAGTCAGATGAGCTGACTCCCACACCTAAAGCCAGCACATGGGATTCCCTATACCATTTTGCCCTGCTCAGTGCCTCTGTCCCTTCCCCTCGGGCAGCTGTTGCCACCCCAGATCCCACCCCAGATCCTTCTCCTGCTCAAGCTGTTCCTCCTCCTTACATCTAATTCTTGGGAGTTATCATCCCATGAGCCTGTCCCCTGTCAACCTAAATACCTCTCCCTAAAGGGACTCCAGCATGAGGTACAGCAATGTAAAAAGGACATTCAGAACTTCCCTTTTCTCTCCACACATAAGGAGTCAGCCCCAACTCTCTTCCCCTTAAAAGACATGCCACTAGGAGGAGGAACCATTGTATTTGTGAATGCTCTCTTGACCAGTTCAGAAGCCTGAAGTTTGAAAAAGGAAATTAAGCCATTGTTAGACGACCCTTATGAGGTGGCAAATCAGGTTGATCAATTCTTGGGACCTCAGTTATACACTTGGGTCGAGTTTATGTCCATCTTAGGCATCCTCTTTTCGGAGGAGGAAAGACGAATGATCTGATCTGTAGGGCTGCTAAGGCAATTTGGGAATATGAACACCCTCCTTGTCAAAACGTTCCTACCACGGACCAAAAATTCCCTGCCCAAGATCCCCAGTGGGATAATAAAAACACAGCTCACCAAGAAAACATGCAAGACATAAGGGAAATGATAATGAAAGAAACTAGGGATTCAGTACCCCAAACTCAAAATCTCTCTAAAGCATTTGATATACAACAGGAGAGAGATGAGTGGACTATGAAATTCCTAGACAGACTAAAGGAGCAAATGAGACAATATGCAGGCCTAAATTTGGAAAATCCCCTGGGACAGGGAATGTTAAAGCTCCATTTTGTCACTAAAAGTTGTCCAGATATTTCCTTTTATTTTTTTGAGATGGAGTCTCTCTCTGTCACCCAGGCTGGAGTGCAATGGTGCGATCTTGATTCACTGCAAGCTCTATCTCCCAGGTTTGCTCCATTCTCCTGCCTTAGCCTCCCGAGTAGCTGGAACTACAGACGCCCACCACCACGCCCAGCAATTTTTTTGTATTTTTAGTAGAGACGGGGTTTCTCTGTGTTAACCAGGATGGTCTCAATCTCCTGACCTCGTGATCCACCCACCTTGGCCTCTCAAAGTCCTGGGATTACAGGCATGAGCCACTGTGCCTGGCCAACATTGTCCAGATATTTCAAAAAAGTTACAAAAATTAGAAGATTGGGAAAACTGACCTCAAGTGAACTTCTCAGAGAGACTCAAAAAGTATCTGTAAAGAGAGACGAAGAAAAGCAAAAACAAAAGACAAAACTTATGTTATTCACCTTCTAACAGATCGCTCCAAACCCATGTACCCCTAAACAAAGCTTCCAGTGGGCCAGAAACTATAAAGGTTCCAAACCCTCCTTTAAAGGACCCAAGCCTCCATTGGGAGGTTCAAGGCTCTCATCTACCAGGCCATCTAAATAGTATGGGGGAGTAAAATCAAAGAATCCCAGAACTGAGAGTGAGGAAGGGCAAGGTAGGCACTACAAATGTGGAAGAACAGGCCACTTCAAGAGAGAATGTCCCAAATTAGAAAAGGAAAAAGAAGCCCTTCCACTCATGGCTTTTGAGGAAGAATAATGGGGTCAGGGGTTCTGTCTCTTTTATCTTGAGTTCCACCAGGAGCCCTTGATAAGTCTAGAAGTGGGACCTAAGCATGAGTTTATAACCTTTTTAGTCAATTCAGGAGTGGCTCGATCCTCTGTTTGTTTTCCCCCCATCTAAATTGCCTGCTCTTCAGAGGAACTTTTGGTTTGTGGGGTAAAGGGAGAAGGATTTAAAGCAAAAATTTTAGAAAACACAGCAGTCAGATACCAGGCTCAATCAGCTCATATTCAGTTTTTGTTAATCCCTAAAGCAGGGACTAATTTACTAGGGAGGGATTTAATGTTGAAGTTAGGCATAGACCTGCAGCTCAGCCCAAGAGGATTCCTCACTTCATTAAAGCTACTCACCACTGCAGATGAAAAATATATTAATCCTAATGTCTGATCCAAAGAAGGAAACTGAGAGAAACTCTGAGTCCCTCCAAGCACATGAAGCTAAAAATCCCCAGGGAAGTAGTAAGGAGGAAACAATACCCCATTCCCCTAGAGGGCAGGATAGGGTTGAAACCTATAATTGAAGGTCTTATTAAAGATGGGCTTCTTGAGCCCTCTATGTCCCCTTATAACACCTCAATATTGCCAGTCAAGAAATCACATGGGTCATACCGGCTGGTACAGGACCTTAGGGCTATTAACCAAATAGTCCAAACTACCCACCCCATTGTCCTCGATCCTTACAGCATTCTCAGCAAGATTCCATATAATAATCAATGGTTTACTGTAATAGATTTGAAGGATGCTTTTTGGGCATGTCTCCTGGCAGAAGATAGGCCAGATATATTTGCTTTTGAGTGGGAGGATCCCCATTCAGGGTAGAAACAACAATATCGATGGATAGTCTTACCCCAAGGGTTCACAAACTCCCCTAACCTTTTCAGTCAAATTTTAGAACAAGTATTAGAAAAAGTTATCATCCCAAACAAATATGCCTGCTCCAATACGCTGGTGAAGATATAGAGAAGGTAGCTGGCTTCTCTACACATATTCTCAACCATCTGCAGTTCGAGGGGTTATGAGTCTCAAAGGGAAAGCTTCAGTATGTAGAACCTGAAATTAAATATTTAGACCACTTGATAAGTGCAGAGAAGTGAAGAATAGGGCCTGAACGAGTTGAGGGAATCGTGTCCCTACCCTTGCCTCAAACTTAAGAACTCAGGAAATTTTTAGGGTTAGTTGGATACTGCTGCTTATGGATTAACTCACATGCACTAAACAGTAAAATTCTATATCCAAAACTTTCCCAGGGGAAGACTGACCATTTCCTGTGGATTTCTGAGGAAGTCGATCAGGTTGAAGAGCTGAAAAAAAGGCTTATAACAGCCCCTCTCTTAGCCTTACCTTCCCTAGAAAAGCCATTCCACCTTTTTGTCAATGTGGATAATGGGGTAGCTTTAGGAGTGCTCACTTAAGAACACGGAGGCCATCGGCAGCCCATGGTGGCCTTCCTGTCAAAAGTCTTAGATCCAGTTACTTGTGAGTGGCCTCAATACATCCAATCCATTGTGGCTACAGCACTAATGGTCAAAGAAAGCAGGAAGTTAACCTTTGGAGGAAAATTGACAGTAAGAATGCCCCATCAAGTTAGAACTATCTTAAACCAGATAGCAGGGAGGTGGCTTACTGACTCAAGAATCTTAAAGTATGAGACTATTCTGTTAGAAAAAGATGATTTAACATTAACCACTGATAATTCCCTTAACCCAGCAGTTTTTCTAATAGGGGATCCAAATCTAAAGAGATAGCACACATGTTTAGATTTAACTGATTACCATACAAAAGTCTGACCAGACCTAGGAGAAACTCCCTTCAGGATGGGATGACACTTATTTATAGATGGTTCTTCCCAGGTGATTGAGGCAAAAAGATGCAATGGGTATTCAGTAATTGATGGAGAAACTCTTGAAGAAATTGAGGCAGGAAAATTGTCTAAGAATTGGACTGCCCAAACTTGTGAGCTGTTTGCACTCAGCCAAGCCTTAAAGTACTTGCAGAACCAGGAAGGAGCCATCTATACCAATTCTAAGTACGCCTTTGGAGTGGCTCATACATTCGGAAAAATTTGGACTGAACGAGGTCTCATTAATAGTAAACGTCAAGATCTTTTTCATAAGGAGATATTCACCCAAGTATTGAATAACCTTCAGTTGCCAGAAGAAATAGTGACTGTCCATGACCCAGACACCAGAAAAGTCTTTCTTTTGACAGTCTAGGAAATAACCCAGCAGATTACATAGGCAAACAGGCTGCCATTTCTTTTAAAACATCTATTTTTCACTGAACTCTTTACCTTCTTCCTCCTAACATAATCTCCATTTTCTCTTCCACTGAAAAGAGAAACTAATAAAAATAGGTGCTAAGGAGAATTCAAAAGAAAAATGGATATTGCCAGACCAGAGGGAAATGTTGTCCAAACCCCTTATGAGGGAAAACTTGTCCCAACTGCATCAAGGGACCCACTGGGGGTCCCAAGCCATGTGTGACACTGTTCTGAAAGTTTTTGGGTGTATAGGAATTTATACTCTGGCCAAACAGGTTACAGAGAGTTGCTTAGTATGTAAGAAAACTAATTAACAAACTATAAAAAGATTACCCCTTGGGAGAAGGAGTCCAGACTTAAAGTATCCAGATTGATTACACAGAGATGCCTCCAATAGGTCGTCTAAAATATTTACTAGTGACAGTAGATCACCTTACTCACTGGGTCAAAGCTATTCCCTTTTCAAATGTGATGGCCAATAATGTAGTTAAGGCCTTAATTGAAAATATAGTGCCCAGGTTTAGGCTAGTAGAAAACATTGACTCAGAAAATGGAACCCATTTTGCCTCAAACTGTTACATTTGATGCTTGCCTTGTTATACCTTGTGGAGACTTGTCAGGTCAAAGACAGCTCTCCAATTCAGAAAAGTACCTCTGTACTTCCTGGCTGTCCTCAGACTGGACATTAGTGAATTTGGATCATTTAGTCTGGGAAAGTTTCAATGAAGACCCCAGTGTCAACTGGGAGTTTTGCCCCCTTGACACAGAGCTTTTATGACGTAGTTGGTCCAACTACATGCAAGTGAGAGCAAGGATGGCTGCCCCAACCAGTAGTTGTAATTTCTAAAACCATACCTTCATTTTACTAAAGATATAGCTCCCCCTAACTTTCAGGTAAACTAGTGCAACTCAATACAGGTTATTATTTCAAACCTTCAAAGTTCTTCCCCTTCTCTAAGCGAATTCCCTTCTTTAAGCTGGTTTTATGATATGGGAGCTGAGTTTTCAGAAACAGACCCTATTGGTTCTTTGAAATATGCTTCATTTCTCCCCTACTGCTTACAGCTTCCCCTAAGTCTTCTTCCAAAAACTCTCACAATGAAACTGTTGTTCCTCCTCCATCTAATGAGAAGACCAAGGTAGCTATTGTAAAAGTTAAAGACCTAAAACAAACTTTGGCAACTGAGACAGGATATCAAGATGTGAATGCCTGGTTGGAATGGATCAAATACTCCATTCGCACTTTAAACAAAAGCAATTGTTATGCTTGTGCACACAGCAGACCAGAGGCCCAGATTGTTCCCTTTCCACTAGGATGGTCCTTCAGTCAACGAGGCATGGGCTGTATGGTAGCTCTTTTCCAGGGTTCCACAGCCTGGTGTAACAAGTCATGTCAATCTCTCTCTCTGCTCTATCCCAAAGTTCAACACCTTGCAGGTCAGCCCCCAAGGACCATCCAGCTTCCTTCTCCTGACACTAAGTTCACTTCATGTCTCTCACAACAAGGAGGAAACTTAGCTTTGCTTGGAAACCTAAAAGATGCAGTAAGCTTAAGACTTTCCAAGAGCTTACCAATCAGTCAGCCCTTATACAATCCTGAGCAGATTTATGGTGGTATTGTGGTGGATCTTTACAGGACACTCTGTCAAGTAACTGGAGCAGCGCTGGTGCTCTAGTCCAGTTGGCTATACTTTTCACTCTGGCATTTCATCAACCAGAAAAAGGGAAAACACAACATAGTAAAGCAAGGGAAGTCCTTTATGGGTCTTTTGACTCCCACATTTATTTAGATGCTATTGGAATCCCATGAGGAGTACCAGATATATTTAAGCCCAAGTTCAAATAGCTACCGGATTTGAATTGATATTTTGGTATGTGACAATAAAAATGTAGATTGGATAAATTAAATCTATAATAATCAACAGTGGTTTATTAATTACACCAGGGGTGTTGTCAAAGGAATAGCGGAACAATTGAGGCCCACTAGCCAGATGGCCTGGGAAAACAGAATGGCCCTAGTTATGATATTAGCTGAAAATGGTGGTGTTTGTGTTATGATTAAAACTCAGTGTTGTACCTTTATCCATTGGGGGCAAACAACACTGCCCCCAATGGGAGCATAACAAGGGCCCTACAAGGATTTACCACTTTATCCAATGAATTAGCTAAAAATTCTGGAGTCAATAACCCTTTCTCAAGATGGCTAGAAAGGTGGTTCAGTAAATGGAAAGAAATTGTAGCCTCAATTCTTACTTCTCTTACAGCAGTAATTGGTGTACTCATTCTTGTTGGGTGTTGTGTCATACCATGCATCCATGGGCTAGTGCAAAGGCTTATAGAAACAACACTTTCTAAAACCTCCCTTAGCTGTCCTCCACCTTATTCAGATAGGCTTTTCCTTTTAGAGGATCAAGTTGAAAAAAAAAATCCAAGACATGCTAAAAAGGTTTGAAGAGGAAGGGCTATAAAAATTGAAAGAGGCAATTGTAGAATACAGTGAATTACTCTTCAAAGGTTTTAGCCTGTTAACATCCTTTAAAATTCAAGAGAGGGAAGATTGTTAAGTACAGTGAGTTCTCATTTCCTCTTCAAAGAGTCAATAAGTCAGTATGTTCAGCTTCTCTGTTCTTTGTTCTCCATTTAAAGTTTAACTTCCTCATTCTTTATGCCTCCTTGCCCCTAGTTTCAGTAAATGACCCCCTCCTAGTCCCTATCACCTACTCTGTCCTTAGTCATTCTTAGTCACTTGCTCTGTTCTTAGTCATCCTTAGTCACCTGCTCTGTAACCATCCTTCCTGAGGAAACTACCCACCCCGCCACTCTGGCTTGCACCCCTGTCCTCTTTGAAGTAGCCAGTCAAAATTAGCTTAGAGTGTGCAGTACAACCCTATCCAATAGGGGAAAGATACAGCAGTAGGGACTATCTGTATTAGGAATAAGAACCCTTTCCCCTCCCTTATCCAGTGTGCCCTTGCCATTGCTCCATCTGCAAGACTCACCCTTCTATAGAAGTAAATTTGCCTTGCTGGAGTGTTAACTTGTTGTTGGAGTGCTAACTCTTCTTTGTGGCACCAAAAAGTTATTTCCAACACGAAGCTGCACCCTTGGTGGAGGGAACATCTGACGAAGTTCAATGTTTGGGGAAAACAATATCTGGAAAGATTGAAGAGTCAGCAGGAGAAACACCTAGGAAAATTACAAGGCCTGTGAAAGAAACATCTGAGAAATTTGCATGGCCACAAGAAAGACCTACAAAGACCACATGGGAGGAAAAAGAAACATCTGTAAAGACTGAATGCGTGGCAGGAGTAACATCTAATAAAACTGAAGTTTTGGAAGAAGGAACATCTAAGATGATCACATGTCCTACAAAAAAACAGCTACAAAAGCAAGTACACATGGTAAGATGCTTGAGTGAACTTTGTAGAGTTTATTGGCACTTTGGGTTCCCTAGTGGAAATAGTGTGGTATGGGAGTAGTCGGGAATGGCTTGAATGTCTAGATAAGGCAAGCTTGGGCAACACATTTTAATAGTGTAGAAATGAGTAGATCTTATTCTATAGGCCCTGGAAAAATTCCCAGAATACTTCTGGCTGTAAATATTAGATGAACTAACTAACAATTGCTAAAACCATAGAAACCAAAGTTTTTTTGGTGGTACAGGGATACTATAGGATCTCACTCTGCCCCCCACCCCCATTATTAGTTGTGCTATCGGCAGTGTTTTGTCCATGTCTCCTTTCTTGGTTGGCTAATTAGCAACAGCTCCAATCATCATGCTAACTCAAGACAATATCTGAAGGCTGGGGGTGCTGCTTTTGTTCACATTTTTTTTTTTAAATAGGAAGAAAACTTGGAAGCTTGCAGTAATCTTCCTGTAACATTTTATTGGCTGGATTATACCACATGCTTATTTCTATACCAATCACTAGGAAAGCAAATGTAATTACTGTGATTAGCTTAGAATAATGATTTTTCTTTTAAGATTGGATGGGGGTAACGGAATAGTAAATATCTAAATGAACTTGTGTTTCTACAGCAATAAAGAATAAATAATGACTATGCATAGGAAGCCAGCAATGTTTTCTGCAGGAACACAGTGGAAAAGTTTGAGCAGGGGAATCACAAGATTAGATTTGAGTATCAGGGCATTCTGGTCATGGTATAAAGCAGAGATTGGCAAACTTTTCCTGTAAAGTGCCAGATAGCGAATATGATGGGCCATGTGGTCTCTATTACAGCTATTCAACTCTGCCATTGTAGGGTGACAGGAGTCATAGATAATGGATGGGCAAAGAGGCATGATTGTACTCCAATAAAAGTTTGTATAAAAAACCATTTAGAAAGCTGAATTTGGCCTGTGGCCTATAGTTTCTGGCCCTTCATATAGAAGATAGATGGAGGATAATCACATAAAAAGATTTAAAGATGAAGTTTTTGTAGTAGTTCATGCGATGGTCTTTTTTTTTTGTAACAAATCTGTGGCCTAGTATCAATCTATTATGAAAGTTTGATCCATCAAGGGTAAAATGAATCAAGTTCAGAAGCTCAATTTACACATTTAAACATGTAGGTCCTTCTTTGGCATTATTTTATTTTGATTAATTTTTTTAACTTAAAAAATAAGAACAGTAATTTGTAGGGTTTCTTTTTTCCCTGTGAAAGCCATCAGTTAAGGGGCCACATTTAACTAGGAAATATAAATATAAAATAAATAAGTATGTATTTCCAGTGGCACTGGAAAGATAAAGCAAAGGCAGAAAAGAGGTGCAGTTAATATGGCTTAGTGATAATTGAGTTTAAAAAGCTAGGGGACAGATAAAATCTCAGGTCATTCATAAGTTTTCAGATTGTGCACAAGCATTTACAATGATCATGGGGAAGGAGTAGGAATTTCTCAGGTTAACAGAGAAGTGCAAACAGTCATGAGACAGACCAACAGTTTTCTTTACATATTGAGTTCAACGAAACATTCTTGTGGGATACTTTCAGTAGGCAATTGGATTATATGCATTTCTAGCTGGAGATAGAACTCTGCTTGAAGATGCAGGCTTAGAATACTTTTATTATAATTATTAGGCAAAGCCATAGATCTCAATGAGCTTATCCATGAGGCAGTAGATGTAGAATAAAAAGAAAGCCATTGACAAAACCCTGGGAATATCAACATTTCACAAGAGTCAAAGGACTTGGTAAAGGAGACTGAGCAGTGGTTAAAGAAACGTAGAAGAGGAGTCTGAGAAAGTGATGTTACAAATTTCTTTTAAATGTGAGAATTTCAAGCAGTAAAATTACTCAAAAGTCTACTGGATTTAACTTACAAGTTCTTCAGTGGTAATCTGTTCAAAAGAATTATTTTAGAGTTGTTAGGTATACTTTTGATGTGGTTGATATTTCTGGTATCCAAGAAGAAATCTCCCAAGATCCTACCTAACTTTTTGTAACTAAAGCAGCATACATACACAGGGAGTGGGAAAATGTCTAGACTGGTGAGTACACATGCCAACATTTTTCCAGAATTTTCTGCCTCCCTATACGGCTTGAGTAAGGGGTTTAGAGATTTTAGACTATACTTGGGAATTTGTCTATTTCTTTTGCAGTTCTGTCAATTTTTGTATCATGTATTTTGAAGCATTTATGTTATTATGTACATAAATATTTAGGACTGTTATGTTTTCTTGATTAATTGAACCCTTTGTCACTATAAAATGACATTGTATATTGCTGGTAATATTTTTGCTATGAAATGTACTTTGGTATTAATACAACCACTCTTCCTCAGCCTTCTTTTGTCAAGTGTTAGTGTGGTATATCTTGTTTCATCTTTTAACTAATTTTTGTCTTTATATTTAAAGTTTATTTCTTATATGCATTATACAGGTAAGACTTGCTTTTTTATCCATTCTGACAATCTGCCTTTGAGTAGAGGTTTTTAGAGCAGTTTAATTTATAATGTAATTATTGATATGATTAGAGTTGTCTGTCATCACACTGTTTGATTTCTATTAGTCCCAGATCTTCTTTGCTTTGCTTTTTTCCTTTTTCTGCTTCCTTCAGACTAGTTTAGTAATTTTTATGATTTAGTTACATATCTGTACATGCATAACTTTTTTAGTTATTAATCTAGTGTTACATTTCTTTATGATTTAGTCATATCTTTTTTGGTATAAGTTTATTTGGTATTAGGTATAACTCTTTGCTGTCCTAGTAGTTGCTTTGGGATTTATAGTGTATGAATTTACCTCATCACAATCCACCTTCAAGTAATATTATATCATATCATAGACGGTATAAGAAATTACAACCATATTTTCATTTCTTTTCTATCAGCCAGATCCCAGCCTAGATCTGTGGGATTATGGCTGTCGTTAAGTTTAAAACATATTTAGCCAATTTTTTTCTCAAGTTTTTTATTCTGCCTCTCCTCCTACCTCTTTGGGGACTTATATATTACCTGCTGGAAGTTTGCTCATAGTTCACTAGTGTCTCAAATTTGTGACTCTTTTATTTCATGATGGCGAATTAATCTATGCTCATATCTACTCAGTGCAGCTTTCATCTCCAGCATTGTAACTTGTATCTCTACAAGTGTAATTTGATTTTTAAAAGTATCTTCTACTGCTTTACTTATCTTCTTGAATTTTATGGTAGAATAGAGTTGAGTTACTTATAAAGAGCTTGATCCTTTTCATTTTTCTTTTTATGGTATGAGCTAACTCCCCATACCTGAGGCAAGGCCTTTCTGAGTATTCATTCTCCTGTGAAGTCTCAGTTTTCCCAGGCAAATCTATAAAAATAGATGCTCTTCTTGGCGCTGTGTGAACACCAGTTGTGATTTCCTATAATTTTATAGGCCACCCCCCACCCCCACCTGGTTTGTTCTTAGGTAGTTTTCTAGCTCACATGCAATTTCCAAAATTTTGCTAAATATTGACAGGGGGTTTCTTGCCATTGATTCTGTATCTCTCTCTCCTCCTCAGTGTTTGTTCTGTAATATCTGTCTGCTTTGGTTTTACCAGACTCTAAGCTTCATCAATGTAACCAAGAGAGTCTGGTAGATCCCACCTCAGTTTTTTCTTCCTGTGTCATGTCTCGGAATCTCTGTCAAGGCAGGAAGCTGAAACATTCATAAGGTTTGCTTTCTTTCGTGTTTTTTTTTTTTTCTGTTTTTCAGGGATTATTATCTCTTTGCCCAATGTCCAGTGTCTGAAAAATTGTTTACTGTATTTTGTGTGTTTTGATTCTAGTTATTTTAGCTATGAAGAAAAATCATACCTGTTGCTCTCCCTTGGCTAGAGGCAGACTACACTAGAGTTTCAGCACATGCCACAGACTGGCTAAAATGCTTTCCTTCCCTGTTTGCTCAACTGCTTCCTTTTCATTCTTCATTCCTCAGTGTAGCTATACATTCCTCGGGGGAATTTTCCATGAGCCTAGTATAGATCTAATTCTTAGCAATCTGTTTTCTTACAGTATCTATCTGAATTTATAACTGTCACTTTTCTGGGGCTTCGTCTTTTAGTACATTTTAAGTTAAACAAAGGCAGAGGTTTTTGTTTTTTTCTGTTTAATCTGCAGAGCTTAGTATAATGCCTTCCACGAGGTAGGCAAACAATATATATTTGTTCAGTGTATGAATTAGTGATTTTTAAAATATGCAGTTCTTTATATCCCAAAAGTACTTATATATTTTATTTCTATCTCCTCCTGGAGACAGATTCAACTAGCCTATCAAAATTCTTGGATGCAATTCTTTCTTGTGAAAGAGCAAGGGAACTTAAAAAATATCCCTGTGAGCCAGGCGCCGTGGCTCACGCCTGTAATCCCATCACTTTGGGAGGCCAAGGCCGGCAGATCATGAGGTCAGGAGATCAAGACCATCCTTGCTAACACAGTGAAACCCCGTCTCTACTAAAAATACCAAAAAAATTAGCCGGGCGTGGTGACGGGTGCCTGTAGTCCCAGCTACTCAGGAGGCTGAGGCAGGAGAATGGCGTGAACCCAGGAGGCGGAGCTTGCAGTGAGTGGAGAACGCGCCACTGCACTCCAGCCTAGGCAACAGAGTGAGACTCCGTCAAAAAAAGAAAGAAAAAAAAAATCCCTGTGAACAACTTACAGCAAAAATGAAACAAATGAAAAAAAAGCTTCGTGTACTACAAAAGGAACTATCAGAACCAAAAGAAATAAAATCATAGAGAATCAAAAAGTTAAAAGAGAACAAGAGCTCTGCAGTGTGAGGTATGACATACTAGTATATAGGATACTTTTAGTACTAGCTGACTTACCTTCTGAGGTTTAACTAGAGAAAGAAATCTCTGTCTTGTAGTGTCAAATCCATTTAAATAATACAAGTTATTAACTGTGAATACATCTCCTGATAATTAAATGCATATTTATTTAAATCACAATTTTAATGGCTACATAGAAGGCCATTATTTGGAAACCCCATTATTTACTTAAAAAATTATTTTTTTTATTTTTAATTTTTTTGTGTTATAATAAGTGCTGCAAGGCATAATTGCATGTAAATCCTTTTCTACCATTCTAATTATTGACTTGGAATAAATTATTCAATATAAAAATATTTGGTTAAATTATAGGAAGTTTTAAGAAGTTCTTTGTTCATTACTTCTAAATTGTTCTCAAGAAAATTTATATTCATTTATAGTTCAACAAAGAGAGTGTGAAACGGCCATTCCTCTACCCCCAATAATCATTTTCCTTTAATTATACACTTGAAATCTTAATATGCATGGAGTATAAAGAAAAATATAGAGTAATTTATGACTAGTATATTCAACATCTCTCTCTCTCCTACATAAATAAAATCAATTCAGAATTCTATGTTAAAAACACTTATTATTTTTATTTTTTAATTAAATATAATATTCTGTCTTATTCTAAAAGAGATTTAAAATTTGTTGATAAAATATAAAATAATCAACAAGATACATTTAAAGTATTACTAAAAAAAGAAACAAAAGATATATGGGATAACAGATATTAGATTCTTCAGCCTAGTCTCAGATTTTAATATTATAATTATGTTTAAGGATATTTGCCTTATTTTTTAAAGATGAATATTTATGTCTAATAAATATGTAAACTTGTTTATAAAAAGTAACGTCATTTTAATTAGTTAACTCTAAATGATCTGTCCTCATTGAGGAGTAATTTTGACTGTTATATTTTTAAAATAATAATTTTCAACTTATAACTTTACTGGATAGCTTCCAGTATTCTTTTCTGTAACAGTTGTTGAAGTTACTAGTAACAGAATCTTTCTAACTAGAAGATGTTTTTTTTTCACTATTTTTCAAGTATGTGTATCATTTGGAAGAGAGTTCAGTAATAAATTAAATACCTCAGAACTAGAAAGGAAAAACGTATTCAAGAATATAGGAATTTTATTGGAATAATAAACCAATATAGGAAGAAGTAGATCTCAAAGTGAATTCTATTTTCTAACAAAATGAATTTTAAGATAAGTATATTTAATGGCAGAGTGACTTTAAAACAAGAAGAGAAGAGAAGAAATGCCAATACATTAAATGAAAAAATTAGGGAAGAATTAGGAAAATTCGAAGAGCAGCAAAAGAAAAAGTTAGAAGTGAAGCAACTTGAACTCACTCTCTGAATGTACAAAATGTGGAATTGAAGACTGTAAGAAGTAATTTGAATCAGCTCAATCAATCACTGGTAAAAATTTTATATATTTCTAATTTTATTTCATCAATATTACTTTTAATATCCCTTCGATTTAGTATGTATTATTCAGAATTATGATAATGCCGCTATAATATTTAGGTACAAACTTTTGTATATTTCATTCAAAAGTTTTCATTTCTATTGGGTATGTACCTAGGAATGGAATTGCTGGGTCGTAAGGTACCTATGTATAACCGTTTCAGCAATCACCTCACAGATTTCCAAAGTGTGCACTATTTTACTTTCCCACCGGCAATGTATGAAAGATCTAATTTCTCAATGGCCTCACCAGGCTGGAGTGCAGTGGTGCACTCTCAGCTCACTGCAAGCTCCACCTCCCAGGTTCACGCCATCCTCCTGCCTCAACCTCCTGAGTAGCTGGGACTACAGGCGCCTGCCACCACGCCCGGCTAATTTTTTGTATTTTTTAGTATAGACGGATTTCACCATGTTAGCCAGGATGTTCCGGATCTCCTGACCTCGTGATCCACCCACCTCAGCCTCCCAAAGTGCTGGGATTACAGGCGTGAGCCACCGCACCCAACCATTTGTCATTTTTTATTGTAGGTACACTAGTGGGTGTTAAGTGATATCTGCTTGTGGTTTTGATTTTGCGTTTTCTTGATGGCTTGTGATGTTAGGCTTTTTCTTCATGCCCTTATTGGACACTCTTATATCTTCTTCACAAAAATGTCTATTTAAATATTTTGCCTATTTTTATGTATTTTTCCTTTTTACTGTTGAGCTGTAAAATTTATTTGTGCATTTTGGATACAGATTTCTAATCAAATATATAAGTTGCAAACATTTTCTTCACTTTTCTGGTTGTCGTTTTATTTTCTTTGTTACGTCCTTTGAAACACAAATGTTTCTAATTTTGATGAAGCCCAGTACATTTTCTTTTAACACTGTGCTTTTGGTGCCATATCTAAGAAACTACTGCCAAATCCAAGGCCATAAAGATTTATTGTTATTTTTTATTCTAAGAGTTTTATAGTTTTGCAATTCAGAAACATAAAATCAAATACTGCATGTTCTTACTTAAAAATGGGAAATACATAATGCGTAAACATGAACAAAGAGTGTAAAATGATAAGACACTGTAGACTCAGAAGGGTGAGAGGGTGGGAAGGGGAAGGGTGATGAGAAATTACTTAGTGGATACAGTGTACATTGTTCCAGTGATAAACACACTAAAAGCTCAGACTTCACTCCTACCCCATATACCCATGTAACAAAATTGCACTTGCACTCCTTAAATTTATACAATTTTAAAAAATGGTTTTAGAGTTTTGGTTCTATGATTAATTTTATAATGTTTTATTGTGGTAAAGCCTATGTAATAAGCTTTGCCATTTTAAACATAAAATTCGGAGGCATTAATTACATTCATAATGTTGTGCAATCATCAAAACTATGTATTTCCAAAAAGTTTTTTCACCCCAAACTGAAACTCTGTACTCATTAAGCAATAACTCCTCATTCTCCCTTTCCTCCCAAGTCCCTGGTAGGAATAAATTTTATGGTATTTTAATTAATTTAAATGTAAAAAACTAAATGCATCTGGTGGCTATCATACGGGACCTCACAGTTCTAACACCACCAGTATCAACCCCTGGACAGATATAATCATTTCTAAGCTGCCTTTGCATTTCTTATTATTCTATTTATGGTAATCTGTAATCTATTCTCCCACAAAGCTGGACTATTCCTGTAAGAACATATCTTATACCATTTCATTCCCAGCTCTGAATCCTCCAGTGGTTACCTATGACAATTAACAAAGAAATCCAAGCTCTTTACTATGGTCTGTATTTATCTGCTCCTCAGAGTGTGCATTCTCCTTTCCGCCTCCCAGTGCCTGCAGCCTGACTGGTCTTTGTAGTGATCTTTGAGCTCATCAAGTGCTGTCTGTATTCAGACTCTGCACAGTGTCTCTTCTCTCTGCCCTCTAGACATTCGCTTAACTCACTCCGTCATACCATTCTGACCTGCTCAAGTGTCATCTCCTCAAAAAGATTGTTCCAGAGCTCTCTATCTAAAGTAGCAGTCCCTGACACCCTGAATGTGATTACCCTACCTTATTTTCTTTGTATTATTATACTTTTTATTTAGACAGGGTCTCACTCTGTCACCAAGGCTGGGGTGCAGTGGCACAATCATGGATCACTGCAGCCTCAAACTCTGGGGCTCAAACAGACCGCCTGTCTCAGCCTCCCAAGTAGCTGGGACCACAGGTGAGCACCACCACACTTGGCTATTATATTTCTTCATAGCGCTTAGTACATCCATCACTTTAGTGTGCAACTGTTTGTGCATTTATGTTCTATCTCTGTCACTATACTGCAAGCTCCATAAAGACAGACCTTCTCTCTCCAGTTCCCATAATACTACCCAGCATAAAATAGGCTGTAAGTAAACATTTATTGACTACATAAAAGAAGAATCTTATTCATGTCAAGGCTGTAATCTATGTTAGACTCAAAGAGATAGTCTCCTGACTAAATAGAAGTGTTTCTTTATTGAAGCATGCCTTTAAAAAAAGTATTGCACATGGTGGATAAGCTTTTGTATGTGCTGCTGGATTCATTTTGCCAGTCTTTTATTGAGGATTTTCACATCAATGTTTATAAGGGCTATTGGCCTGAAATTTTCTTTATTTGTTGTGTCTCTGCCAGGTTTTCCTATCAGGATGATTCTGGCCTCATAAAATGAGTTAGGGAGGAGTCCCTCTTTTACCATTGTTTGGAATAGTTTCAGAAGGAATGGTACCAGCTCTTCTTTATATCTCCAGTATAATTCAGCTATGAATCCATCTGGTCCCGGGCTTTTTTTGGTTGGTAGGCTATTCATTACTGTCTCAATTTCAGAACTTGTTATGGGTCTATTCAGGGATTCTACTTCTTCCTGATTTTGTCGTGGGAGGGTGTATGTGCCAGGAATATATCCATATTTTCTAGATTTTCAGGTTTATTTGCAGAGAGGTGTTTATTGTATTCTCTGAGGGTAATTTGTATTTCTGTGGGATCAATAGTGATACCTCTTTTATCATTCTTTTTTTTTTTTGAGATGGACTCTCACTCTGTCACCCAAGCTGGAGTGCAGTGGTGTTATCTCGGCTCACTGCAACCTCCACCTCTGGGGTTCAAGCAATTCTTCTGCCTCAGTCTCCCTAGTAGCTGGGTCTACAGGCACACACCACCACACCCAGCAAATTTTTGTATTTTTAGTAGAGGGATTACAGGCATGAGCCATCACACCCAGCCCCCTTTATCATTTTTTATTATGTCTACTTGATTCTTCTCTTTTTTCTCTGTTAGTCTAGCTAGTGGTCTATTTATTTTGTTAATCTCCTGGATTCACTGATATTTTGAAGGGTTTTTCGTGTCTCTATCTCTTTCAGTTCTACTCTGATCATAGTTATTTCTTGTCTTCTGGTAGCTTCTGAATTTGTTTACTCTTCTCTAGGTTTTTTAATTGTGATATTAAGGGGTCGATTTTAGATCTTTCCAGCTTTCTGTTGTGGGCATTTAGTGCTATAAATTTCCCTGTTAACACTACTTCAGCTGTGTCTCAGAGATTCTGGTACGTTGTCTCTTTGTTCTCACTGGTTTCAAACAACTTTGTTATTTCTGCCTTAATTTCGTTATTTACCCAGTAGTCATTCAGGGGCAGGTTGTTCAATTTCCATATAATTGTGTGGTTTCAAGTGAGTTTCTTAATCCTGAGTTCTAATTTGTACATGTACAAATTAGAGTACACCATGGAATGTTATGCAGCCATAAAAAATCATGAGTTCATGTTCTTTGCAGGGACATGGATGAAACTAGAAGCCATCATTGTCAGCAAACTAACACAGGAACAGAACACCAAACAGTGCATGTTCTCACTCATAAATGGGAGTTGAACAATGAGAACACATGGACACATGGAGGGGAACATCACACACAGAGGCCTGTCAGGGGTTGGAGGGGAAGAGGAGGGAGAGCATTAGACAAATACCTCATGTATGTGGGGCTTAAAACTTAGATTACAGGTTGATAGATGGAGCGAACCACCACAGCACATGTATACCTATGTAACAAACCTGTACATTCTGCACATGTATCCCAGAACTTAAAGTAAAATTTTTAAAACAGATATAAATATTGTATACATAAAAAAGACACACAATGTTTATGAATAGAAAGATTTTATATTGTAAATAAGTCATTTCTACTCATTAAATTATGGTTGAATGCAATCCTACTCAAAATCCTATCAGGTAATTTGAAAATTGACAAGCTAATTTAAAATTTTTTTGAAAATTTAAAAGGACAAGAAGAACCAAGAAAGTCCTGAAGAAGAACAGAGCTCAAGAATGTATACCATCAGATGTCTCCAACTTTATTACAATTAAAATAAGATGGTATTAGCAGGACATACAAATAGAGAAACAAAAAACAAACTCATACTTACACCATCACCTGATTTATGACAAGGGTGAAACTGCAGTGCAGTGAGGAAATAATAATCTTCTCAATAAATGGTGGTAGATAATTTGGATATCAATATGGGAGAATAAAAGACTTTAACCCTTGTCTTGTGTCACAAACAAAAGTCAATCGTAGGTGGGTTATAAAGCTCAATCTGAAATGTTAAAAATTTTTAAAAAAAGCTTCTGTAACATAGAAGAATATCTTTATGACAATGGGGTAGACAAAAATTTCTTAAGCAAGACTAAATAAGCGTTAACTACACAGAAAAAGTCTGATAAATTGAACTACATTAAAATTAAGAAATTGGTATTAACGAAGTCACCATTAAGAGAAAGAAAAGACAAGTTAAATTGGGAGAAGATATCTGCAATGTTTAGGTCCAATCAAAAACCTATATCCAGAATATATAAAAATTTCCTACAAATCTTCATGTATTCTGGATATAAATTTATGATTGGACATAAACCAAAAAAAGTCCAGGACCAGATGGATTCACAGCTGAATTCTACCAGAGGTACAAAGAGGAGCTGATACCATTCCTTCTGAAACTATTCCAATCAGTAGAAAAAGAGGGAATCCTCCCTAACTCATTTTATGAGGCCAGCATCATCCTGATACCAAAGCCTGGCAGAGACACAACAAAAAAAGAGAATTTTATACCAATATCCCTGATGAACATCAATGCAAAAATCCTCAATAAAATACTGGCAAACCAAATCAAGCAGCACCTCAAAAAACTTATCCACCATGATCAAGTGGGCTTCATCCCTGGGATACAAGGCTGGTTCAACATACGCAAATCAATAAATGTAATCCAGCATATAAACAGAACCAATGACAAAAACCACATGATTATCTCAATAGATGCAGAAAAGGCCTTTGAGAAAATTCAACAATGCTTCATGCTAAAAACTCTCAAAAAATTAGGTATTGATGGGATGTATCTCAAAATAATAAGAGCTATCTATGACAAACCCACAGCCAGTTTCATACTGAATGGGCAAAAACTGGAAGCATTCCCTTTGAAATCTGGCACAAGACAGGGATGTCCTCTCTCACCACTCCTATTCAACATAGTGCTGGAAGTTCTGGCCAGGGCAATAAGGCAGGAGAAAGAAATAAAGATTATTCAATTAGGAAAAGAGGAAGTCAAATTGTCCCTGTTTGAAGATGACATGATTGTATATTTAGAAAACCCCATCGTCTCAGCCCAAAATCTTCTTAAGCTCATAAGCAACTTCAACAAAGTCTGAGGATACAAAATCAATGTGCAAAAATCACAAGCATTCTTATACACCAACAACAAACAGAGCGCCAAATCATGAGTGAACTCCCATTCACAATTGCTTCAAAGAGAATAAAATACCTAGGAATCCAACTTACAAGGGATGTGAAGGACCTCTTCAAGGAGAACTACAAACCACTGCTCAAGGAAATAAAAGAGGATACAGACAAATGGAAGAACATTACATGCTCATGGATAGGAAGAATCAATATCGTGAAAATGGCCATACTGCCCAAGGTAATTTATAGATTCAATGCCATCTCCATCAAGCTACCAATGACTTTCTTCACAGAATTGGAAAAAACTACTAAGTTCATATGGAACCAAAAAAGAGCCCGCATCACCAAGTCAATCCTAAGCAAAAAGAACAAAGCTGGAGGCATGACGCTACCTGACTTCAAACTATACTACAAGCTACAGTAACCAAAACAGCATGGTACTGGTACCAAAACAGAAATATAGACCAATGGAACGGAACAGAGCCCTCAGAAATAATACCACACATCTGCAACCATCTGATCTTTGACAAACCTGACAACAACAAGAAATGGGGAAAGAATTCCCTATTTAATAAATGGTGCTGGGAAAACTGGCTAGCCATATGCAGAAAGCTGAAAATGGATCCCTTTCTTACACCTTATACAAAAATTAATTCAAGATGGATTAAAGACTTAAATGTTAGACCTGAAACCATAGAAACCCTAGAAGAAAACCTAGGCAATACCATTCAGGACATAGGCATGGGCAAGGACTTCATGTCTAAAATACCAAAAGCAATGGCAACAAAAGCCAAAATTGACAAATGGGATCTAATTAAACTCAAGAGCTTCTGCACAGCAAAAGAAACTACCTCAGAATGAACAGGCAACCTACAGAATGGGAGAAGATTTTTGCAATCTACTCATCTGACAAAGGGCTAATATCCAGAATCTACAAAAGACTCAAACAAATTTACAAGAAAAAAACAAACAACCCCATCACAAAGTGGGTGAAGGATATGAACAGACACTTTTCAAAAGAAGACATTTATGCAGCCAACAGACCATGAAACAAAGCCCATCATCACTGGTCATCAGAGAAATGCAAATCTAAATCACAATGAGATAAAATCTCACACCAGTTAGAATGGCTATCATTAAAAATTCAGGAAAAACAGGTGCTGGAGAGGGTGTGGAGAAATAGGAACACTTACACTGTTGGTGGGACTGTAAACTAGTTCAACCATTGTGGAAGACAGTGTGGTGATTCCTCAAGGATCTAGAACTAGAAATACCATTTGAACCAGCCATCCCATTACTGGGTATATACCGAAAGGATTACAAATCATGCTGCTATAAAGGCACATGCACCCATATGTTTACTGCGGCACTATTCACAATAGCAAAGACTTGGAACCAACAAAAATGTCCATCAGTGATAGACTGGATTAAGAAAATGTGGCACATATACACCATGGAATGCTATGCAGCCATGAAAAAGGATGAGTTCATGTCCTTTGTAGGGACACAAATGAAGCTGGAAACCATCATTCTCAGCAAACTATCACAAGAACAAAAAGCCAAACACTGTATGTTCTCACTCAAAGGTGAGAATTGAACAATGAGATCACTTGGACACAGGAAGGGGAACATCACACACCAGGTCCTGTTGTGGGGTGGGGGAAGAAGGGAGGGATAGCAATAGGAGATATACCTAATGTAAATGACGAGTTAATGGGTGCAGCACACCAACATGGCCCATATATACATATGTAACAAACCTGCACGTTGTGCACATGTACCTGAGAACTTAAAGTATAAAAAAATTATTAAAAATCATTGAAATGTACACTTTTAAAAAAAAGAGTGTATTCTATCAGGATTCTGACTAGAGTGCTCTAGAGTATGACATAGGATAGGGAATGTCTTAACAAGCTTCAAAATTCTAGGAACAATGAAACTAGGAAAAAAGCTTTGAAAAATGCCAGGGATTCAACTGCCTCCCTGGCCTTTCCCTGCCAATCAATGTGCCCCAGCAGCCAATTTACACAGCACTGTGTGCAGGCTTGTAAATAGACCTTCCAGTTCTGCTATAATCAAGACCTTATTGTCCATAACTCAATTTAGAGAAGGTTTAGCTGTCTACCAACTCTTGTGCAGAGTTTCTGTGAAGTTTTGTTTTGGGTTGCAAGAATCTGGAAAACAAATGCAGACATTTTTGAGGAAGATTTTGAAATTTCTATTTACAAGGTACCCAAAATGGGATGCAAACTTGAATTTGGTTGATCTTCTGAAATACATACCTGTGTTTTAAGATTTGCTTGAGCAAACCTTTAACCATGGAAATTTGAAACAATGATTTCCAGGTTGAAATAATTCCAGTTTTGTCATATAAATACCACAAATGAATCTGTTTTAGCACAGGGTACAAATATCTTTTTTCCTTTTGTGCATTTGGCAATAGTGTGTTTTGGTAATAAAACATAGATCTGCATATTAATGAAACATAGCTCTGCATATTTTGTCTGGGGAAAATTAGCATTCTGTGAACAAAGTCAACAATTTCTGGCCTCGCATTAGTTTTCCTATTATAATTAAAACTTAGTTTTGGCCAGGCGTGGTGGCTCATGCCTGTAATCCCCGCAATTTGGGAGGCCAAAGCAGGCGGATCACGAGGCCAGGAGGTCGAGACCATCCTGGCTAACATGGTGAAACCCCGTCTCTACTAAAAATACAAAAAAAAAAAAAATTAGCTAGGTGTGGTGGTGGGCACCTGTAGTCCCAGCTACTCAGGAGGCTGAGGCAGGAGAATGGCATGAACCTGGGAGGCAGAGCTTGCAGCGAGCTGAGATCACACCACTGCACTCTAGCCTGGATGACAGAGTGAGACTCTGTCAAAAAAAAACAAAAACAAAAACAAACAAAAAAACACTTAGTTTTGAAAATATCTTGGTGTTAAATTTCCAATGCTTCAATATTACAATTAAAACCTTGCTTTACTGAGAGCAGAAACATAATGCAGAAAAGAAAAAAGACCAACAGTCTCTAGATTGCTGAATTTATGTGGATATGATGGGGTTGGTGTTTAATGATTTATCCCTTGAATCATAGCAAAGATGCTTTTGTGAAGCATAGCTCTTTCATAAATATACTTTCCAACCATTCAGCATGACCTATCTTTTGGTTTCTTTTGCTTTGTGTTTCTGCTCTGATATCATTTCTGGAAACAAATTACAGTAACAAATTTATTGAGAGCTGGCATTGTGAATTGTGCCTAGGATTTAATTCATAAAGGGAAGGTGAATTCTGCTGAAAGGTGCTTAACACACTGCCCCCCAAATCAAGAGAAACAGGCCATTCTGGGACACACATAGCCTGTCTCACACAGGGGTCAGGAAGCAGAGATATCAGGGAATTGGGACTATGTCTTTATGATAGATATGGTTAGGCTTTGTGTGCCCCCATCTCTTCTTGAATTGTAATCCCCAGGTGTTAAGGGACACACCTGGTGGGAGGTGATTGGATCATGGGGGGTGGTTTCCCCCATGCTGTTCTTGTGACACTGAGTGAATTCTCATGAATTCTGATGGTTTTATAAATCGAAGTTTTTTCTGCACACACATGTTCTTTCTCCTGCTGCCATGTAAGAAGGTCCAGTTTGCTTCTCCTTTGCCTTTTGCCATGATTGTAAGTTTCCTGAGGCCTCCCCAGCTATGAGTAACTGTGAGTCAATTTAACCTTTTTGCTTTATAAATTACCCAGTCTTGGGAAGATTTTTATTGCAGTGTGAGAATGGACTATTATAGTAAATTCGTGCTGGTAGAGTTGGGTACTGCTGTAAAGATACCCAGCAATGTAAAAGCGACTTTGGGTCTGGAGATGGAGATGAGAAACCTATTGGGAACTAGAGCAAAGGTCACTCTTGCTATGCTTAAGCAGAGACTGGCAGCATTTTCCCCCCTGCCCTAAAGAGCTGTGGAACTTTGAACTTAGATTATCTGAAATTGAAACTTACGTTTAAAAGGGAAGCAGAGCATAAAAGTTTGGAAAAATTTGCAGCCTGATAATGCTATAGAAAAGACAAACCCATTATTTGGGGAAAAATTCAAGCCAGCTGCAAAAATTTGCATAAGCCACAGGGAGCCTAATGTTAATCACCAAGACAATGGGGAAAATGTCTCCAGGGCATGTCAGAGACCTTCACAGAAGCCTTTCCCATCACAGACCAGGAGGTCTAAGAGGAAAAAATGGCTTTGTGTGCAGGGTCCAGGCCTTGCTGCTTTGTGCAGCCTCAGTACTTGGTGCCCTGTGTCCCAGCCACTACATCTGTGGCTAAAAGGGGCCAAGGTACAGTTCAGACCATTGCTTCTGTAGGTACAAGCCCCAAGCTTTGTTGGCTTCCATGTGGTGTTGAGCATGTGAGTGCACAGAAGTCAAGAATTGGGGTTTGGGAACCTCCACCTGGATTTCAGAGGATGTAAGGAAAAGCCTGGATATACAGGCAGATGTTTGCTGCAGGGGTGGAGCCCTCATGGAGAACCTCTGTTAGGGCAGTGCAGAAGAGAAATGTGAGGTCAGAGCCTTCACACACAGTCCCCACTGAGGCACTGCCTAGTGGAGCTGTGAGAAGAGAGCCACTATTCTCCAGATCCCAGAATGGTAGATCAACCAACAGCTTGCACTGTACATCTGGAAAAGCTGCAGACACTCAATGCCAGCCTATGAAAGCAGCTTGGAATGGGGCTGTACCCTGCAAAGGCACAGGGGCAGAGCTGCCCAAGACCATGAGAGTCTACTTCTTCCACCAGTGTGACCTGAATGTGAGACATAGAGTCAAAGGAGATTATTTTGGAGCTGTAAAATTCAATGAATACCCTGCTGGATTCTGGACTTGCATGGGGCTTTTAGCCCCTTTGTTTTGTCCAATTCTCCTATATGGAATGGGAGCATCCTCATCCAATGCCTGTACCCTCATTGTGTCTTAGAAGTAATTAACTTGCTTTTGATTTTATAGGCCATGCTAATCAGCATTCAGTTCTAGATTCCAATTTATTCTCAGTGTGCCTGTATAACTTTTCTTTCTATATATATATAATTAAATTTCTATTACTTATTTGAATGTTATAGAATACTGTTCATATATTTAAAATAAAACCACCAGGTATAATGATTTCTGGCTTAGTATAAAAAAGCTTTTACCCAGTTAGTGTTATTTACACAGGTGGATGTGGCTCTACAACATTTAGAGAAGAAGAATAAATTCAGCTGTCATATGTTGCCATGACTCTGCCTCTGAAGAGATTATGAAAAAATCCAAATTTCAGCAAAATTATATGGTTGTTTTCAGTACCTCTGAAGGTGCTATATCAAGAATTCTCATGCTACTCTTTGAGAAAACAGATTGCGTTTTTACCTAGAAAATCAACTGCAAGGCATTTTTATAACCTTACCCCAAGTAAAAAAAATACATTGAAATATACTAATAAATGCAGACTACATTACTTGAAAAATGGTAATACAGAATGCCACTTTTAATATTTGAAAATATGAATTTTTGGTAGAAATAATGTAAAATAAAGCTTCTGGTAAGCCTTAGGCAGTTAAATTTACATCAGTGTAAAGTAGGATGAAAATCTGTAAAAAATAAAAACAAAAAAACAAACAAAAACCTACACCAAAAAAACCCTAACATCCACCAATGCATACATATTGATCTTTGTGCTGGGAAAATCTAAAGCAGAACATTTTGGTAAACTTGATAGTTATTTATTTTGACTATATTGGCATGTTGATAAAACTACTTATATTTAATTTGAGTGAAACATGTCCACATTATTAAAAGTGTTGCTTTGTACTATGAATGATGGATGTAAAGTCTTGATCCTCATCCAAATAAATATGGCAACACTTTCTTCTGCTTCTTTCAAGCTGAGGCATTCTGAAAGCTCAAATTTGAAGTGAGAGGGACTTAACATCAGAGCCTGAAAAACCAAGAAGAATGAGGTAGGATGGTCAGCTCTGAAGCTCAGGGTGGCCTGGGGAAACTCAATATAATGATGTCAACTATGAAGCTTACTGGGTAAAACTACAAATAGGCCGATCTCATTTCACAGAGGTAAGCCGACACTCCCTTTTCCAAGAAAGTAAAAAAGAAAACAAGCAAATAAAACTAAAAATACAAACGTGAAAACATCATGGCTTAAATTTGGTGGGAAGAAGCCTCTGGGATCAAAAATAGTTGTGCCAAAAGAATTGAGCCAGCCTGGTTTGGTTGTAATCCCAGCTACTTGGGAGGCTGAGGCAGGAGAATAGTTTCAACCCAAGAGGCGAAGGTTGCAGTGAGCCGAGGTCGTGCCATTGCACTCAAGCCCAGGCAACAAGAGCGAAACTGTCAATTTAAAAAAAAAGAATTGAGCCAGAATAAAATGTATTTAAGGGTTATTAAGGGGAATGTTTCTAGCACATAAGTGTTTGTTCC